>NC_000007.14:145215955-145367470 GCF_000001405.40 Homo sapiens | reverse complement strand
TAAGTAAAAACCACATTGTATTATAAACATTTTGGCCTTACAAATTGTGGAGTAACTAAAGCCAATGACTCACTTAAGTACACAAATCCACTGAAGAGTAAAATGCATTAGTGGCTGGGACATATTTAGTTTAGGTTGCTATATTTGAATCTACTCTGTTCCATACAGTGCTAGGGATTTCTATCTGTATAACATAGCCTAAATTAACACGTGGGCTTTGAAATGGTTAAGGCAGTATTCCATGGACAGTGGCACTGTGAATGTATAATTAAAAGTTTTATCACCCAAGAAATAAGATCAAGAACCCATTATAAAAAGTGAAACTTTCCTCAAAGTGGCTGAAGCCTAGACAGATAGATGACTGATAGATAGATAGAATAGACAGAGTTATAAAATTGTGTGTGTAAATTCAGGGTCTGATACTGGGACTTAAAGTCTACAAGAAAAGTTTTGGAAAGGGAAAATGGATATAAGTAGATGGCTGAAGCCTAGACTGATAGATGATAGATAGATGATAGATAGATAGATTAGATAGATAGATAGATAAATAGATAGATAGAGGTATAAAATTGTGTGTGTAAATTCAGAGTCTGATACTGGGGCTTAAAGTCTATAAGAAAAGTTTTGGAAAGAGAAAATGGATATAAGTAAAGGACAGCAAGGACAACCTGAAACCACAACATAAGCCGGAACCCATAAGGATGGACTAAAACCTGTGTCTCAGTCTTGACGCCTGTGATCTGGAGGGTAGGGGACATCTGAAAGCTAACATGGCAGAGTTAGATCATTTATAATATTTACTTTAGTGGCCACATTAACTGCATAATAAATTATGTAATTATAAATGAGTAATATTTTACATGAGAGTATTAAGATAAAATCATTATTAATTTTTAGATATAGAAACTAACTTTGAAATCTCTAATCCAGCCTTTCAATTCAAAGCCAGGAAAATAGAAGCTTCTTTGCAGAAGAAGCCGGTGTCCATCAGGACGGAACTGAATGCACCTCTGGATCAGGTGGCGAAAATGCTGCAAAAAGATCCAGGGTAAGTGGCGCATTTGCAGGACAGGCAAATGCCCCATTATGTGAGGTAGCAGGTAAAATGCAACAGGTGTATGTTACAAAAAGGCTGATACTTTAATTCCTTCCTGCAAATCTCACTTAGGAATGTATCTTTTTTTTTTTTTTTATTATACTCTAAGTTTTAGGGTACATGTGCACATTGTGCAGGTTAGTTACATATGTATACATGTGCCATGCTGGTGCGCTGCACCCACTAATGTGTCATCTAGCATTAGGTATATCTCCCAATGCTATCCCTCCCCCCTCCCCGTATCTTAACACTTACTCTAACTGGAAACACACAGGAAAAGAAACAGGAAATAATTTCAATGACAGCAGCAACAAATGTGCAAGGGCTATATGAAAGAAATACAAAATTGTATTGAAGGACATTAAAGGAACATGAATAAATGATGAAATATAATAAGTTAGTGAATGGGAATACTCAAAAGCATGATAAAAATTTTACCTGTTAATGAATTAAAGGAAAATCTCAATAGTACTTTTCATGTATTTAGAAAAATGAATTCAAAAGATCCTGTGTAATAACAAGAATCTAAATGTAGCCAAGACAATTCTGGAAATGAAGAACAAAGGAAAAGCTACACTTCTAGATACAAAATTTGTCCTCAAGTATTTGTGATTAAAACTAGGCCTGAAATGATAATAATGTTTCTAAAGCTGCAAAATCTTGGTGTTATTATGTACTCATATCACTGGTAAGATATTAAAACACAGAGATAAGCAAATACATAGGTGGCAGCCTCTCAAAATGAAGGTAAACACAAAATTATTTCTTTTAGTCTATTTTATATGTTAAAATAACCTCAAGTATCCTATAATTAAGACATATCTTATAGTAAAAGTTACCATATATTCTCAAAATAACTTGGTGGCAAATTAGTCAGATTACTACTCATCAATTTCACTTAAACTTTCAGTACTGAATTGAACTTTAAAAATCCTCTTCACTTTAAATATAACAAGACAATTCTAGTAATGCAAACACTAAAATCACTCCAACTTATACTGAATAATATTTAAGATTCCACTCCGATATAATCAGAGGTTGTTTAGCTTTTTCTGTTGGGATGTCATTGAATGCATCCTTTTCATGGGAAGCAGGCTGGCAAAAATACCATCATTAAAATATTCACTATTTTTGAAAACCCTGTTACTCAAATGTTCTTATGCATTTGGGGATGGTAGTCATAATGATGAGATTCATTCCATGTTGTTACATTTAACCAATGTTAATTCTTTATTACAGCGATGTAGTATACCATTGTAAAAATATGCCATACATTGTTTAATCTTTCACCTATTTATGGACATTTGAGTCACTCTCAGTTTGGCAAGTGCAAATATCATGTAAGATAAGTAACATTTTATGTCTCGTGTCAATTTAAGTCGTATAGTGTTCATTCTTCAGCCATTAGTTCAGAAATGTATTATTAACCTTTCTAATATTCTCATCAAGGAAGTGGCAAGAATAGTTTTTACAGCTTTATGGACATAAAATTAACTGCATATATATTGCATGCTTTTTTTTTTTTTTTTTTGAGACGGAGTCTCGCTCTGTCCCCCAGGCTGGAGTGCAGTGGCGCAATCTCGGCTCACTGCAAGCTCCGCCTCCCGGGTTCATGCCATTCTCCTGCCTCAGCCTCCTCAGTAGCTGGGATTACAGGTGCCCGCCACCATGCCCGGCTAATTTTTTTGTATTTTTTAGTAGAGACGGGGTTTCACCATGTTAGCCAGGATGGTCTCGATCTCTTGACCTCGTGATCTACCCGCCTCGGCCTCCCAAAGTGCTGGGATCACAGGCGTGAGCCACCGCGCCCAGCCTATTGCATGCTTTTTAAAATCAGTTTTTACACACACACACACACGCACACACACACACACAACAAAACCATCACAACAAAGTAACAAAAATATTTATTACCCCCAAAAGTTTACGTGTATACCTTTGAAATCACTCATCCTCCCTCTTTACTCCTCACCACCATCCCCAGGGAATCTCGAATCTGTTTTTTGTCTCTATAGATTACTTTAAATTATGTAGAATTTTATATACATGAAATCATAGAGTATATCTTCTTTTTTATCTGGCTTATTTCAGAAAAATTATTTTGAGATTCATTGATGTTGTTGCATATAAACAAAGTAAATTATGTATTGTGGCTGACTCGTATACCATTACAAGAATATAACAATTTATTTAATCATTCATCTATTGATGAGCATTTGGGTTGCTTTCAGATTAAGGCTAGTACAAATAAAATTTTTATGAACATTTGTGTACATATCTTTATGTGGAAACATGCTTTTATTACTCCCGGCTTAAGTACCTACGAGTGGCATGGCCAAGTCATGTTATTAGTATGTGTGTAAATGTTTTCTAAGATGGTTGTGCCTTTCTACATTCTCAGTAACAGGATATAAAAGGACAAGTGGTTCCACGTCCTTGCCCAAATTTTTCTGGTCAGATTTCTAATTTTAGCCATTCTAGTGAGTATGTAATTATATCTCATTGTTGTTTTAATTTGCATTTCCCTGCTGGCTACTGATACTGCTCATCTTTTAATGTGCTTATCTTGAATTTGTGTATCTTTTATGGTTAAATGTCTATTCATATTTTTCCAATTTTCTTATTGAGTTATTTGCTAACATATTATAGGCTTCATCTTTAAATGTTTGACAGAAGTCACCCCTAAAGCTGCTTTTACCTGGAATTTTCTTTGTTTACAGATTCAATTTGTTTAGTAGGAAAAGCACTATAAAGTTATCTATTTTATGTATTATTTTGAGGAAGCTTTAGCAATTTGTATCTTTCAAGACATTTTTATACTTCTTCTATTTGTAATACATTAGTATAAAGCTACCCACAATATTCCTTATTAGCCTATTAAACTCTATAGGCTCTGTACTAATTTCTCTCCTCCCATTCCTGATACTGGAAATTAGTTTCGTGTCTTCCCTCCTCCCCAAATCAACTTGGCTAGAGGTTTCTTTTCAAAGAACTTCATTTAGTCTTTAAGTATTTGTATTGTTTTTCTAATTTCTTATATCTGTTCTTGTCTTTCTTCTGCTTATTTGGGGTTTTAATTTGCCTTTCTTTTTCTAATTTTTTTAAAGTGGAGTTGAGATCATTAATTTCAGTCCTTTTCTGACTTTATATATTTATTTTTCATTTTTTATTTTTTTATTATACTTTAAGTTCTAGGGTACATGTGCACAACGTGCAGCTTTGTTGCCTATGTATACATGTGCCATGTTGGTGTGCTGCACCCATTAACTTGTCATTTACATTAGGTATATCTCCTAATGCTATCCCCCCCTCCCCCCACCTCACAACAGGCCCCTGTGTGGAAATTGCAATATAAGCACTGCCTTAGCTGCAAATGATACTTTTTGATAGCTTCTGTTCTCATTTTCATTAAGTTCAAAGCGATTTTAAGTTTTTCCTTTTGATTTCTTCTTTGGCCCATGAATTGCTTAGACTTGTGCCACTTAGTTTTCACATATTTGCACTTTTTCAGCTATCTTTTTATTATTTATTTTGAATTTTATTCCATTAAGATCTGAACATATATTTTGTATAAATTGAGCCCTTCTAGAATTTATTAAGATTTATTCTGTGGTCCAAAACTTGACTACCCTGATAAATGTTTCATCTGAAATTGAATATATGTCATTGTTGGGGAAAGTACCTTATAAATGTCAAGTAAAATAGAGTGATACTGTTTGAGCTTTCTCTGTTTTTGCTTCATGCATTTTGAAAATCTATTGTTAGTTAAACATTCACGATGTATAATAGGCTATTCTTGCATCACTATAAAGAAACACCTGAAGCTGAATAATTTATAAAGAAAACAGGTTTGATTGGTTCATAGTTCTGCAGGCTGTACAGGAAGCATGGTGTGGCTTCCATTGATGCCACAGGAAGCTTACAATTATGGTAGAAGGCAAAGGAGGAGCCAGTGTCTCATATGGTGAGAGTGGGAGCAATAAGAGACTGGTGAGGAGGTGCCACACACTTTTAAACAATCAGAGCTTATGAGAAACAATCAGAGCTTATGAGAACTCACTCACTATTGGGAGGGCAGCACCAAATGAAAGATGCTAAACCATTCATGAGAAATCTGACCCCATGATCCAATCACTTCCCACCAGGTCCCATCTCCCACACTGAGGATCACAATTCAACATGATTTTGAGGGGACAACATCCAAACTTGATCAGGATGCTTATGCTTTTTTGAAAAATTAACTCCTTTATCATTATGAAGTGACTCTCCTTATTGCTGGTAATATTCTTTCATGAAAAATCCACTTTTTCTTATATTCATATAGCTACATTTTAATCAGTGTTAAAATGATAATCTTCTTCCATCCTTGTATGAGTAATGTATTTGTGTTTTTATATTTAAATCGGGTTTCTTTTAGTCAGCATATTCATAGATCTTGCTTTTGAATCTAACTAGTGTGGTTATTCTGCCTTTTAATTGGGGGAGGAAACATTTAATTTGCTTATATATGGTTAGATTTAAATTTATAATCTTGGTATTTGTTTTATCATTTTCCCATATGTTGTTATTTATGTACTCTTCTGGTTTGAGTATTACTAGGGAGTCCATTTAATCTCCTTAATTGGCTTATTACCTAAAACAATTTAGTTTCTCTTTCTAGTGGTTGCTTTAATATTTTAGTACACACTTTAACTTACCACAGCCTATGTTCAAGTAATATGACACCACTCTATCTGAAAAAGATCGTTTAAGACTGTGCTTCCATATGCCCCTCTCCGTCTCGGTGCTATTGAAACCATCCCTATATACTTTATAAATTTAAGCAAGGAAGAAGCAAGAGGGAAAATAAAAACAAATCAAACTTGCAACACATTCAGCATTAATCATTAGGTTAGCTTACTCTCTGACCCTCTTCCTCATAGTTGTTTGCCTATTGTCCTGTAATTATGTAGACCCTGTTACAAGATTATAATTCCTCTTAACTGCTCCATAAATAACAACTTCAATATTATAAAATGTTAAATTTTCCCTTTGAGATATTCTTTCAGGTCCTACCTACCCAAAAAATTACTGACACCAGCTGGTCTGAAGGATCCCACTTACACCAGCTGGTCTGAAGGTCCCAAGAAGCTGACTCACCAAGCAATGCAGTTTCCACATGCATTCCTGATGATGTTGAGAGGTGACAGCGTGTTGGCAGCCCTCACAGCCCTTGCTCGCTCTCGGTGCCTCCTAGGCCTCAACGCCCATTCTGGCTGCACTTAAGGAGCTCTTCAGCCCGCCGCTGCACCGTGGTAGCCCTTCTCTGGGCTGGCCGAGGCCGGAGCCGGCTCCCTCCACTTGCGGGGAGGTGTGGAGGGAGACGCACCGGCTGGAACTGGGGCTGCGCACGGCGCTTGCGGGCCACTTAGAGTTCCGGGTGGGCGTGAGCTTGGCGGCCCCGCACTCGGAGCAGCCAGCCAGCCCTGCCGCCCCGGGCAGTGAGGGGCTTAGCACCCAGGCCAGCAGCTGCGGAGGGTGTGCCGGGTCTCCCAGCAGTGCTGGCCCACCAGCGCTGCGCTGGATTTCTCGCCGGGCCTTAGCTGCCTCCCTGCGGGGCAGGGCTCAGGACCTGCAGCCCGCCATGCGTGATTCTCCCTCCCCCACCGCCCCCGCATCGCTGACCCTCCCGGCGGCCCCGCCCTCGCCATAGGCTCCTGCGCGGCCTGGGTTTCCCTGACGATCACCACCTCCTGCTCCACGGTGCTGGGTCCCATCCACCGCCCAAGGGCTGAGGAGTGCGGGCGCAGGGTGCAGGACTGGCGGGCAGCTCCACCTGCGGCCTCCGTGGGAGATCCACTGGGTGAGGCCAGCGGGGCTCCAGAGTCTACTGGTGACTTGGAGAACCTTTGTGTCTAGCTAAGGGATTGTGAGTGCACCAATCAGCACTCTGTGTCTAGCTCAAGGGTTTGTGGATGCACCAATCCGCACTCTGTATCTAGCTAATCTGGTGGGGACTTGGAGAATCTTTATGGGATTCTAAGGGAGAATCTAAGGTATTGTGAGAATCTAAGGGAATCTAAGGGAGAATCTAAGGGATTGAATCTAAGGAATCTAATGGAGAATCTAAGGGATTGTAAATGCACCAATTGGCACTCTGTATCTAGCTCAAGGTTTGTAAATGCACCAATCAGCACTCTGTGTCTAGCTAATCGGGTGGGGACTTGGAGAATCTTTATGGCTAGCTAAGGGATTGTGAATGCACCAATCGGCACTCTGTATCTAGCTCAAGGATTGTAAATGCACCAATCAGCACTCTGTATCTAGCTCAGGGTTTGTAAATACACCAATCAACACTCTGTATCTGGCTAATCTGGTGGGGACTTGGAGAACTTTTGTGTCTAGCTCAGGGATTGTAAACATGCCAGTCAGCACCCTGTCAAAACGGACCAATCAGCTCTCTGTAAAATGGACCAATCAGCAGGATGTGGGTGGGGCTAGACAAAGGAATAAAAGCAGGCTGCCTGAGCCAGCAGTGGTAACCTGCTGGGTCCCCTTGCACGTTATGGAAGCTGTGTTCTTTCACTCTTTGCAATAAATCTTGCTACTGCTTGCTCTTTGGGTCTATACTGCCTTTATGAGCTGTAACACTCACCGGGAAGGTCTGCAGTTTCACTCCTGAGCCAGCGAGACCACGAACCCACCAGAAGGAAAAAACTCCGAACACATCTGAACATCAGAAGGAACAAACTCTGGACACGCCGCCTTTAAGAACTGTAACACTCACTGCGAGGGTCCGTGGCTTCATTCTTGAAGTCAGTCAGACCAAGAATGCACCAATTCCGGACACAATGTCATCCCTCTCACAATTTCCAGTCAACAACCCAAATTTTCCAGCCCCTCATCATCCACAATCCCCTTAAAAACTCCAGCTCAGAACTCCTCGAGGAAATGGATTTGAATGTTTCCTCCCATCTTCTTGTTTGGTACCCTGTGATGATGAACCTTTTTCTCTCCTGTAAACCCAGCTTTCTCAGTGTGATTGGTCTGTTACTACAGAGCAGGCATATGGATCTGTTGGTCCCATTATGCCATTATTATCATACTTATTGATACATACATTATAAACCCCATAATCCATTGTTATTATTCTTATTTTAAACAATTATATCATCTTGAATTTTAAAAAAATTCTTTTTAATAAATATTATATTGATCAGGGTTTTCTGGTAACAAAATCAATAGAATACAGAATCAATATAATCTCTCTCTCTCTCATATATATATGGGAATCAATATAATCCATATAATCTCTCATATATACATATATGAGAGAGATGAGAAAGATTATATATGAGAGAGAGATTATATTGATTCTGTATTTTATTGATTTTGTTTCCAGAAAACCCTGACCAATATAATATGTATAAAAAGAAAATTTTTATTTTAAGATGATATAAAGATAATTAACTGTTTAAAATAAGAATAATGATTATGGGTTTATAATGTGTGTATCAATAAGTATGACAATAATAGTGTAATAGGACCAACAGATCCATATGCCATGTATGTATAAATGAAAGAGAGAGAGAGACTCCAATAGAATATATATGATTTGTTATGGAGAATTGACTTACACAATTGTGGAGACTAAGAAGTTCCACAGTCTGCCATCAGCAAGCTAGAGAACCGGGAAAGCAAGTGGCATACTTCAGTCTGAATCCAAAAGCATGAGAACCAGGGGAGGCAATGCCGTCTCAGTCTGAGGGCAGGAGAAGACCAACTTCCCAGCTCAAACAGGCAGATAGGAGTGATGAATTCCCTGTTCCTCTGCCTTTTGTTCTATTCAGACACTTCACGGATTGGATAATGCTCTTCCACAGTGGGGACGGTGGTCTACCTTATGGAGTGCACCAATTTAAATACCAATCTCATCTGGAAATACTCTCAAAGAAATAATGTTTATCTATATATCTGGGTACCCCATGAACCAGTCAAGTGGATACATAGAGTTAACCATCATACACGTATCTACCGTTTCTGACAACTTTCATTTCTTTATATGGATCCATATTTCCATCTAATATAATTTTCCTTATGCTGAACAACTTTCTTCCACATTTCTTCTAGAGTAGGTTTAATGATAGTTAATCCTTTCAGCTTTTGTATGAGTAAAAAGTCCTTACTTCAGCTTTATTTTTGAATGATGATTTAGTGCCTTTGCTTTGTTTTAGTCTCTTTTCTTTTTGTGTTTCTGTTTAGATACTTGCTATTCCTGACATACGCTTCATACTCTTTTTTTGTCTGTAGTATCTAATATGCTGTCATTCCCATGAATTATATTTTTACCTCTGACATTGTAGTTTTTATCTCTAGAAGCTTGATTTGAATCAATATATCATTCATATTTCTACTAAACAGGCATAGCCTCTTTTTTCCTTTCTTATATATATGCCATAATAAGTATAACTGTTCTAATATGCATGTCTGTCAGTTCTATTATTTGTATTCCTTATGTGTCTATTTCTACTGATTGATTTTTCTCTTCATTATGGGTCATATTTTTCCACTTTTTTGCATGCTGGCAACTTTGGATCAGATGTCAAACATTGTAAATTTTACATTTTTGTAACCTGTATGTTTTTAATGTTACTATAACTATTCTTGATTTTTATTCTGTGGTATTTTGAAGGTATCTGGAAGCAGTTTTATCCTTTCGAGGCTTACTCTCATGTTCTTTCGGATGGGAACAAGTTTGACTTATTCAATAGCTAATTTTGCTCTACTGCTGAGAGGCAATATGCTTCTGTGTACTCTACCCAATGTCTCCTAATCACAAAATTACAATTTATTTATTAGTAAGACAGAGAACTATTCCCACACTTTGTGATCTCTGTAAATTGTTTCCTCTAACTCTTTTGAGTGAACCTTCTGTCTCCTCAGGTAGCTGCCTCACATGCATTTATCAGTACTTAACTGAAGACTTGAAAGAAAACCTCTGCAAATTCCTCTCTCCCCCTCTCTCTCCCCTACCACCCCCTTTCTCTCCTTCTCACTTTCATCTAGTATTCTGGTCTCTCCTTGTTCTCTCACTTTCTGTGTTTCTCCTCTCGCAGGGATCACTGTTCTTCCCTATGTGATGTTCAATGCCTGAAAATAATTGTTACATATATTTTGTCTGATTTTTTAAATTGTTTCAGGTGTAAGTCTGGTTCATGTTACTTCCTTTTCCCAAGAGTATTTTAAAACTTTCGTTGTTATATTATTGCAAGGAACATTGGATTTAGGATCAGAATATCTAAATTCAAGATCTAATTTTATTCCAACCATCAATGTTCTGTTCCTGGCTTGCTTTTTCACTAATTACAGTTGACCTTTGAACGACATGGGGGATCAACCCCTAGTGCAGTTGAAAATCGATGTATAACTTTTGGCTGCCCCAAACCTAAGCTAGAGAAAAGAAGATGGTATTAAGAAAACCACAAGGAAGAAAAAATATATTTACCAGGTATATTAGTTCGTTTTCACGCTGCTGATAAAGACATACCTAACACGGAGAAGAAAAATAGACTAACAGTTCCACATGGCTGGGGAGGCCTCACAATCATGGCAGAAGGCAAAAGACACTTCTTTTTTTTTTTTTAATATACTTTAAGTTTTAGGGTACATGTGCACAACGTGCAGGTTTGTTACATATGTATACATGTGCCATGTTGGTGTGCTGCACCCATTAACTCGTCATTTAACACTAGGTATATCCCCTAATGCTATCCCTCCCCCCTCCCCCCACCCCACAACAGGCCCCGGGGTGTGATGTTACCCTTCCTGTTACATGGCTGCAGCAAGAGAGAATGAGAGAGAAGCGAAAGCATAAACCCCTTATAAAACCATCAGATCTCATGAGACTTACTTACTACCATAAGAATGGTATGGGGGAAACCACCCCCATGATTCAATTATCTCCCAACAGGTCCCTCCCACAACACATGGGAATTATGGGAGCTACAAGATGAGATTTGGGTGGGGACACAGAGCCAAACCATATCACTTGTATTAACAGGAAATGGATTATCATAAAATTTTTCATCCTGCTGTCTTCATGTTGAGTAGAATGAGGAAAAGGAGGAAGAGGAGGGGTTGATCTTGCTGCTTCAGGGGTGACAGAGGTGGAAGAAATCCATTTATAAGAGGCACAGTTAAAATACATGTTGTTCAAGGGTCAGCTGTACAGGAACTTTGACAAATATTTCAATAAAGCACTCTAAAACTATATTACCCATTTTACAATGTCAATATGGTTATATATATTCTACTTGCTAGGTATTCTGTGGGGGAAAATGATCAACAAATTATGTAGAATTATTTTGTAATTTTACAGCTGAATTATTTCTTCCAAAGTTACTGCCCTTTCCATGATTGTCCACTTTAATAAATATAAACTTTAGCAATAGATTATTTACAATAAAACATTCTAAATGCTAGCGTGATTTTCCATATATTTGTTATATTTTTCCCCCTTTATTTTCATTTTAAACTAAATATTATCAGTTCTGAATTACTTTCTAAGGATTTATATAACTTTTCATTTAGAAAATGACATGGTCTCCAGTTATATTTAGATTTCAATCATAAAGAGCTAGGTAAATCAGTGTTTATTAGATAGGGCAACTGTATATTATCACTAACCAAATAGGCAACCCTTAACTCTGCTTTATACAGAGAAGTCCTGTCAGCTTAAAAGTACTACAGAATTTTTAATGTTTTGTAGAATATGAACCAATTTTAGTCAACATGTTTATAAAGAAAACTTGGTAAACAAACAAAAAACTAAAAACAAAACAAAAAACACGCATACCTAAATTTAGGATTAGAAATGACTTTACAAAAATAATACTGAAAGTATATGTTGATTAAACTTTGTTTTTAGTACTTTCTGTGTCTTCTTACCTCTACTGGTGTCTTTTCCAGTATCCTCATTTTCTCTCCTACTCTCTCTGTGAAAATAGGAAAAGATTATTTAAAACATTTTTACTGAAGTATTGTTACAGACAAGTCATTTCAGAAGATAATGTAGCCTTTTTATTTTTGGTTTTATTGTATTTGGGATTTCAGAAAATGACTTAGCCCTTATTTAATTTAGATCAGAGAAGTTGTGTTTAAAACAAATGCCCTGCAATGTTGTATCTAATTCTGATTCTTCTGTAACTTTCTGAATGAAGATTTGGTGGTGGAAATTCAACAGTTATCAAGGGATTCTGGTATGGAAACAATGAGAAATTTCATTGAAATGTGATGTTCGGGAGTTTGCAAAACCTAGGACTGGGAGTCAGGAAACAATTTTGAGACCTGATTCTGGCTCAGAGTCCCAACACCCTCTTTATAGCCTTGCATAAAAATTTCTCTGGATGTAGTTTCCTCATTTGCAAACCTAAAAATAGTTCAAAGTCAAGGGGTTATCTAGGACCCTTGCCGCAAAGATTCCATAGCGAAGAGGTTTGTGAATTCAAATATCTTAGTCAGTATCTTACAACAGTCCCCAGAAGAGGTAGCAACCTTCTAACTACAAACTTTTACTGATTTTCAAACAAAAAATCAACCCCCTTGAATATATTAAAAAATGTAAACAATTTATCTTTGTTCTTAATTTGAGTTTCTGGAAGAACTGACTCAATGAGACAGCATAAGAAAAAAAATTGTTAAAATTAATTAATTAGTTAAAGCCTAGTTCAAAGTAATTACTTGGAAATGCTATGCCATCTCTATTTCTACTAGAGTCATGACAAAAATTTTCTGGTTACTAAGACTTCATGGGATCTAGTGACTTTTTCTCGGGTAAGGGAAAATTTAAAAGGAGATCAATCTTAGACTTAATAAGAAATCTCCTTAAACATATTTGCAAGGTTTCTAAATAAACTTTTGGAGAGTAAATTAAGTAAATTTTCCCTTTTTTTGAGACGGAGTCTTGCTCTGTTGCCGAGGCTGGAGTGCAGTGGCACGATCTCGGCTCACTGTAACCTCCGCCTCCCGGGTTCAAGCGATTCTCTTGCCTTAGTCTCCCAAGTAGCTGGGACTACAGGTGTGCACCACCACATATTGCTAATTTTATGTATGTTTAGTAGAGATGGGGTTTCGCTATGTTGGCCAGGCTGCTCTTGAACTCCTGACCTTGTGATCCACCCGCCTTAGCCTCCCAAAGTGCTGGGATTATAAGCATGAGACACCACGCCTGGCCAGAAAGTAAATTTTCAAATGGAGTTAATACCTTAGGTGAGAACTATATTACGTTATTCTGCCTTTCATTAGACAATAAACTAAAATAGAACTTTCTGATGACATTCTTTTTTTTTTTTTTTTTGCTTTAAAACTGGCGGAAGTTTTTCTTTTCTTTTTTTAATATATATTTTTTATTATACTTTAAGTTCTAGGGTACATGTGCGCAACATGCAGTTTTTTTACATATGTATACACGTGCCATGTTGGTGTGCTGCACCCATTAACTGGTCATTTACATTAGGTATATCTCCTAATGCTATCCCTCCCCCTTCCCCCCACCCCACAACAGGCCCCAGTGTGTGATGTCCCCCTTCCTGTGTCCAAGTGTTCTCACTGTTCAATTCCCACCTATAAGTGAGAACATGCGGTGTTTGGTTTTTTGTCCTTGTGATAGTTTGCTGAGAATGATGGTTTCTAGCTTCATCCATGTCCCTACAAAGGACATGAACTCATCATTTTTTATGGCTGCATAGTATTCCATGGTGTATATGTGCCAGATTTTCTTAATCCAGTCTACCATTGTTGGACATTTGGGTTGGTTCCAAGTCTTTGCTATTGTGAGTAGTGCCGCAATAAACATATGTGTGCAACATTTATGCAGCCAACAGACGTGAAAAAATGCTCATCATCGCTGGCCATCAGAGAAATGCAAATCAAAACCACAAATGTGATATCATCTCACACCAGTTAGAATGCCGATCATTAAGAAGTCAGGAAACAACAGGTGCTGGAGAGGATGTGGAGAAATAGGAACATTTTTACACTGTTGGTGGGACTGTAAACTAGTTCAACCATTGTGGAAGACAGTGTGGTGATTCCTCAGGGATCTAGAACTAGAAATACCGTTTGACCCAGCCATCCCATTACTGAGTATATACCCAAAGGAATATAAATCATGCTGATGACATTCTAATTTGCTTTTTATTGGCTGAGACCAATTCCATGTATTTCTTGAAAAGGGAACATATAATAATAGATTTGAGGATTTTAAAAATGTTTTTGTATATATATTGCCTCCTTTGTTCATACTTAAACTAATGGTTATTGATAAACTAATCCTTAACTAGTTGCTAATGACGTGTTATAAACCACAAAGTGAGGTATCAATATGTGAAAATTGATCATACAAATTGCATCATTCTTGTCACACCCAACTAAAACAGAGTCAAAAGCCTGGGGGAAAAGCACTTGGGGCACATGAATTTGCTCCAAGAATGTAATTCTCTGCAAGCCTGGCTGCTGAAGCTGCCTGCTGGAACCTGAAACCAGTTTTATCTAATGGCTGTGAAACAACCTGCTGCCACTCTAAGACTAGCTTTACCCACCACTGTCAGTTAACCAGCCAGAACCTGCCAGCTTCACAAAACGTTACTAGTGCCAATGAACTTTCTGGAATAACACCATGCAACATTTCTCCTTTCTTTGTAAAACCTCTAACCTTCTCTTTGTTCTTTAAACATACTAAAAACCACCTGATCTGTGTGTTTGCTCTGAGTTGCAATTCTTTCTTCCCAAAGAAATGTTTTAAAGTTTTCTTCTTTAAAGTTTTTAGAGATTCATCTCTATATTGTATTCAACTTCAACAAATGATACTCTAGTTTGTGCACAAAATTTCCTTTTCTGTGTGTTTTGTTGTTTCTCCCTTTAAATGTTTTTGTCAAACTATCAATCCCACACAAAATTCTATAATATTTTTGGGTGGTTGCAGAGCCTCCAGAACCTGATAGAGATGAACTCATCACCAGTTTTCCAATAAAAAATTCAAGAGACATTTTGTTATTCTATTTATTCCAATTAAATACTTTCAAAGCTATATTAATACTTGTTGACTCTCCTAAGACTTCCCCAAGATTGGTAAAAATAAATGCCAAAACTTGTTAGGGGAAAATCCATTCTTTGGGTTTGATCCTAGCCAGGGCCATATTCAGTCCTCACTCTTAGACTACAGTGATTAATTTTTAATATGCATAAGAATAATCTTTGCATTTTTTGAAAGATTTTCATAATCCCCACATATGTGATATGCCTCCCTTTTATAAGAAGTTTCCTGACTCCAGACCTGTATCTACCTATTCCCATATCTAAAGTTTTCTCTTGTATACCTTATTGGAAACCATTTCAGCAGGTAACATCAGTGGAAGTGATTTGTTAGTATTCATGATAAGGTTTAAAAGAAAAAAACAAAAAACAGCATGCCTTAATAAATCAATTACCAATTACCTTACATGGAAAGCTGCTCATTCATAATTTTGCCCACTGAAGAAACCAAGAATATATGGTGTGAACGTACAGTTACCAGCCTGGGAGGTCAGTGGTCTACTAGCTTTGCTGGGTAAGCCTTTGCCTCAGGCCAATGGGTGTGGAATTTGAGGATAATGGAACTTCTCTCATAGCCCTCCAACTCAGTTTTCATGAGGAGTTTACTCTGTGATGCTCACAGCCTTCACTCATTTAGTAATTCAGTTGCTCAAAAATGTTTCTTGAGAATTTGCTATGTGATAGGCACTGCACTGAGTACAGAAGATATAACATTGTTCAATACTTATTTAACTGACCTCAAAAAGCTTAATATTCAGCCCCACTGTTTTACATATGAAAGGCAAGACCATTCAACAGCTTGATATTTATGCAATATTTTGCATAAATATATTTTTTAATTTATCTGATTTTTCCAGGTGATAAAAGGCTCTTGGCACACAACGGTGAAAAAAAATTGTTCCTTCTCTCAGAATATCACAGAACCAAATGCAGGTAGGGAATTAAGGAAGGAACGATTAATCCTATGCAAGTTTATAAAGTAAAGAAATATTTATCTGAATTATTTGATTAATAGAGTAAATGTAGCCAGCAAAGAGAAGAAAACAACATACCAGGAAGAATAAACCAGGCACAGGATGGGAAAAATCATTGCGTTGTGCTCAGAAAATAAAAAAAAAATTTGCTATGAAAAAGGCATAGGGTGTCAGTTGGGAAACTGGAAATGAAAACTGGAAAGGCAAATTAGTTAAATACTTTTAAAGATCCAATATGCCAAGCTGAGGAGTTTGGAATATTAATTCTTACTAATCAGTCAGCAGAAAATTTAGGCATATGTGTGACATAATCAGATTCCATATTGTGAAAAATGACAGCTCAGAAAATGCACATGAGGAGAGAGAGGAGCAGAAACAATTAGGGAATTGCTGGAATAACAGAGCTGAAAAATACTCAAGAAGAAGGTTAAAGCAGTGGCAGTGAGGATGGGTGAAGAGAGGCAATTTAAAGGATGTGTTTTATGTAGAATTAAGAGGATTTTCTGACTGTAAAGGTTTTAATAGATGGTAAAAGAGAGAAAAAGGCAAATACTTGGACATTTCAAACTTAAGAGGCAGAATGGTGATATTATTTATCAAACAAGGCTACAGAAGAATGAAATTGAATAATTTTGGGCAGGTCATGTGTTAGGAGACTCCAGAACTCAAAGTTGTAAATGTTGGTTAGGCTGCGAAATGGATGAATATGTAGAGGAAATAGGAGTTGGGTTTGAAGATGTTGCCCCGTAAAATTATGCCACTGGTGGTGACACATATTTTTGAAAAAATATGTTGACTTAGCACAATTTTATAAACTGGCAATCATATGTTGGCCTACATGTTTTTCTTGATCTTAATTGCTTTTGAAATCCTAACATCTGGAACCATTGTATTACAAATATTTTGAACCAACTAGTCTGTAAGATGAGAGAGAAAATGGGCTCAAAATGAAGAACTACTTTTCCCCAATTCTCGGAGTAGGTTTTTGACATATCCTGATTGGAACCCAGCCCAGCTTCCCAGGTAAGAATTCTTTGCACTGTGAAGAACACATTCAATCATGTTCCCTACCAAAGGGTCAAAATCCTTATGTTAAGCTAGAAAACTATCCTACCAAAAAATTGTGGCTCAGGATACATGAAACACAAGAAGAAGAAGGAACATGTTGGATGATCTTGCAGTGGCATATATACCTGTACACGTGGATATTTATATTCACACACTCACATGTAATGCTAAAATAATTTTTCCATATCATAAAGTCTACTTCTTGGAAATATTGTGAATAGTAAGAAGAATAATGAGATATCACTCTTGAGAAGCAAAAACCAAATAACAAAACAGGATTGTAATGGTATTAAGGAGTGAGGGCAAATAGTAAATACAATGAAATCAAACAGAGCAAAATAAAGAAGAGACCTTGCATGAACCAATGTTAATTATGTGCTAATAAAAAGGAGTAAGATCAGCTAAACTCTATAACACCCAAACATAAATGCTTACACTTCAAATTAGTTTAACCATTGTGGAAGACAGTGTGGTGATTCCTCAATGATCTAGAACAAGAAATACCATTTGACCCAGCAATCCCATTACTGGGTATATACCCAAAGGATTATAAATCATTCTACTATAAAGACACATGCACACATATGTTTATTGAAGCACTTTTCACAATAGCAAAAACTTGGAACCAAGCCAAATGCCCATCAATGATAGACTGAATAAAGAAAATTTGGCACATATACACCATGGAATACTATGCAGCCATAAAAAGGATGAGTTCATGTCCTTTGCAGGGACATGGATGAAGCTGGAAATGTCATTCTCAGCAAACTAACACAGGAACAGAAAACCAAACACAACATATTCTCACTTGTAAGTGGGAGTTGAACAATGAGAATAGATGGACACAGGGAGGGGAACATCACACACTGGGGCCTGTCAGGGAGTGGGGCACTAGGGGAGGGATAGCATAAGGAGAAATACCTAATGTAAATGACGGGCTGATGGGTCCAGCAAACCACATGGCACGTGTATACCTATGTAACAAACCTGCACGTTCTGCACATGTATCCCAGAACTTAAAGTACAATTGAAAAATAATAATACTAAATACTTACACTTCATGCTTTTTATTTCTTGGATGTGTTAAAATAAAACTCAGTGTTGTTGAAAATATATTCACTTCATTCCAATTATTTCCTATCATCATATATTCTACTAAGACTCCACTTATTTTCAGGAAGAAAATAGCAGTCTCTATTATAGAGAAAAAGGGTTAAATGATGCAAGAAAGATTATCATAAAGATATATTGAATTTGTCTTAAATGGAATGTCTTGATAAAATAAAAATTCTATACAAATTTAGTTACCATTGTCTAATCCAGTCATCTTCAAAGTAAATTGCTGCAATTCAGAGAGTGCACAAGATGATTCCTTGTAAAATGAGAAAAATATATTAGCATTTTTAGTTACATTTATTTTTTCATTCTTATTTGTAAATGCACGTGGCTCAGGATACATGAAATACAAGAAAAAAAAAGAAGGAAAATGTTGGATGATATTTTAAAAGTTCGTGAAACACGAATACAGTTCAGTAATTTAGCCTCAAATATTATATCTAAGCTACAACCATTCAAATAAAAAAAAACAGAATGTTGGTCAGTGCTGTGAAGCCCTCTTCATGCCTCAAAACTATTTTTACATTTTGTGTTTATTACAAATGGTGTGGCATTTTTCACTATATCTTCTGACACTTGTTTGTGACAATGAGCCTCAAACTCCTGTGCTCAAGTGATCTTCCCACCCCAGCCTCCTGAGTAACCAGGACTACAGGCACACATCAACATGCCTAGCTATTTCTTTTCATTTTTTTGTGGCGACAGGGCCTCACTATGCTGCCCAGGCTAGTCCTGAATTCCTGGCCTCAAGAGATCCTCCCAACTCAGCCTCCTGATGTGCTGCAATTACAGGCATGAGCCACTGCGCCCAGCTGATTTTTATACTTTATCCTGAAATTTTGCTAAATTTATTTATTATTCTAGTTACTTCTTTATACTACTTACCATAGGATTTCTACATAGACAGTCATGTCACCTGCACATAAAGATGGTTTTACTTCTTTTCCAATCTGTATACTTTTTATTAGTTTTACTTGCTGTCTTCACTTGGGCTGCAGTGGCAAAGTACCATTCACTGGGTGGCTTATAAACAACCAACCAACCCAAATGCCCATCAGTGATAGACTGGATTAAGAAAATGTGGCACATATACACCATGGAATACTATGCAGCCATAAAAAATGATGAGTTCATGTCCTTTGTAGGGACATGGATGAAGCTGGAAACCATCATTCTCAGCAAACTATCACAGGGACAGAAAACCAAACACTGCATGTTCTCATTCATAGGTGAGAATTGAACAATGAGAACACTTGGACACAGGAAGGGGAACATCACACACCGGGGCCTGTCGTGGGGTAGAGGGAGGGGGAGGGATAGCATTAGGAGATATACCTAATGTGCATGACAAGTTAATGGGTGCAGCACACCAACATGGCACATGTATACATATGTAACAAACCTGCATGTTGTGCACATGTACCCTAGAACTTAAAGTATAATAATAACAAATAAATAAACAACCAAAATTTACTTCTCACAGTTCTGGTGGCTGGGTGTCTGAGATCAGGGCTCCATCATGGTCTGTCTCTGGCGATGGTCCTCTTGCAGGTTGCAGACTGCCAACTTCTTGTATTTCATGTGGCAGAAAGAGAGCTAGTGAGCTCTCTGGGGTCTCCTTAATAAGGGCAATAATCCCATTGATGAGGGCTTCACGCTCATGACGTAATCACTTCCCAAATGTCCCACCTCCTAATATCATCGCATTGGGATTAGGGTTTGGGCACATGAATTTGGGCACGGGGGAACGTTCAGGGCATTGCACTAGCCCCACTTGCATTGGCTGTAATGTCCAGTACAATGATGAACAGAAGTGGTGACAGTGGGTATGCTTGCCTTCTTCCTGATCTTTTGGGGAACGCATTCGGTCTTTCATTAGGTATGATGTTACCTATGGTTTTTTTCATAGATGTTCTTATTAGTTTGCAGAAGTTTCCTTCTATTCCTAATCTGCTCAGAATTTTCATTAGAAACTAATTTTGAATTTTGTCAAATGTTTTTCTGTATCTGTTAATAAAGTCATATTAATTTTCTTCTTTAGTCTGCTCATATTGTGAATGGCACTGATGGATTTTCAAGTGTTAAACCTGACTTAAGTTATTTATAGTGCAAAGTTTACACATTGTTGGATTTCACTTGCTAAAATGTTGGGGATTTTGGCATCCATGTTCATAAGAGACATTGGTCTGAGGTTTTCTTTTCTTGTGAAATCATTTGGCTGGTTTTGGTATCACATAATACTAGCATCATAAAATGAGTTGGGAAGCATTTCCTCCTCTATACTTGCTTGGACTTGTTATTATAGTTTCCATAAATGTTTGCTTGAATTCACCAGCATTCCATGAAGGGGAAGCAGAAAGAATCAGGCCTCCTGAGGCTTGTGCTCTGAAGATCACATACTGTCACTTCCCCCATATTATCTTCTTATAATATTTTAAATGTCTGTTTTTTTAATAGAATTTATTAGAGCAGTTTTAGCTACACAAGAAAATTGAGTGGAAAGTACATACCCCCTTACCCACACTCACAGCTTTCCCCACATTGAAGATCTTGCATCAGAGTGGCACATTTCTAACAATCAATGAATCTACACAGACACATCATTACCCAAATATTACATTAGGGTTCAATGCTGGCATTGTGTATACTTTGGGTTTTCACAAAGGCATGTGCCATTTATCCACTATGGGTGTATCGTACAGAATAGTATCACTGTCCTACAAATCCTCTGTGGCCGTGCTATTCATCTCTCCCCCCAACCAAACCCCTAACAACCCCTGATCTTTTCACTGAATCCATAGTTTTGACTTTTCCAGAATGTTATATATTTGGAATCCTACAATATGTATAGCCTCTTTAGATTGGCTTTTTCACTTAATAATATGCTTTTAAGTTTCTTCCATCTCTTTTTATGGAGATGGAGATTCTTTGTAGTGCTGAATAATATTCCATTTTCTGGATGTACCACAGTTTATTTATCCATTCATCTACTGAAGGATATCTTGGTTGTTTTCAAGTTTGGGCAATTATGATTCAAGCTGCTTTAAACATCCATGTGCAAGTTATTTTTTTTAAAATAAGTTTTCAATGGATTTAGGCAAAATTCAAAGCATATGATTTGTGAATGATATGGTGAGGGTATGTTTAGTTTTGTAAGGTACTGCTAGACTGTCTTGCAAAGTGGAGCTACCATTTTACATATCCACCATCAATGAATAGAGTTCCTGTTCTTTCATACCCTTGTCAGCATTTGGCATTGTCAATGTTTTGGATTTTGGCCATCCTACTAAATGTGAAATGGTATCTCATTGACATTTTAACTTGCAATCCCCTAATGACATATGATTTTGAACATCTTTTCATATGCTAATTTGCTTAGGTAAGTAATTGAAGTTACTGAAGTGGAGAAAGTCTAGAAACTACAAAAATATGGCAATATAACTCTTTGGTTTTACCTAACTTTATAATCACAGATCCTCATACTTTAATACCTGGTTGTATATGATGCAAATTTTTATTTTATTAAGGTCAATCTGGTGTGCACTGAACTGAAAAATATAAACTTTGGTTTCTAACTACATTGCTTAGCTTTAAAAATTTACTCTTTATTTTAGAACTGTATATACACATTCAGAAATTAGACTAGACGTAATGAGTGAGATTCTATAATTATGTAGATATCAATTTGGGGGTATAAGAAGTGACATTCATAATGAAGAGAATTTCATTTTTGAGACAAAAGAATTCACAAATTTTGGTGAATACAAAGATTGTCGTATGCTAGATCCATCAAAATTATAATGGAGTTGATCTGAATAACTTTCCTCAATATTACTTGTAATTCCTTCAATGATTCAAGTAGACTGAGAGCTTATTTTCTGTGGATACCATTTTGAGAATTAAGCGACAGTCTTGAAGTGAATTATTTTGTAGTATTCCAGTTGACCAAACATGGAAACACTGCATGTCTTTTACAAAGAACAGAAGAGAAAACCATTTTAGATAATATATCTTTGTATCATATATTTTAAGTAATCCAGTGCAAGAAAGTATAAGAATCTGCTTTTGATATGAAGAGATACATTTCCTTATTTTAACTTCACTTTACTCTGCAATGCAGTAAATAAAATGATTGCTACTATAGTGAGATGAGGTATCTAGGGACCAAGTTAAATAAAATTTATTCTGAAACACAGCCTGTAGTTGTCTTAATTTATTTCCATAGGAACTGACATCACCCGAAGGTGCTGCTAGCCAAAGGCAGAGGTCATCACTGCTTAGTTCATTTTCCTAATGGCACTTCCTCCTCCTTCTTGCAATAGCAAGTAGATAGTCTGATTTATTTTTGTTTGTTTGCAGTTAACCTACTTATTCAGAGTAAGGTAATTCCAAAAGGAGTCATGTTGGTTATTTAAATTAAATTAATGGAAATAACTTAAATCATTTAAATTATTTTGACATTATTTCTTGATTAATCATTTAAAAATACTTTAATATTTAAAATGTTTATGAACATAAGTACCCCAAACCATATGCCTTCACAAACTCATGATTTCCTAGTAGGTGGGCTACATAGACTAATATAAATTCATGA
This sequence comes from Homo sapiens, assembly GCF_000001405.40. Taxonomy (NCBI): domain Eukaryota; kingdom Metazoa; phylum Chordata; class Mammalia; order Primates; family Hominidae; genus Homo; species Homo sapiens. Next base: position 145,344,552 of record NC_000007.14, on the reverse strand, counting down.
GCCTTAGTTTCAACAAATCATAAAATGTAAAATTCTATGCAAAGCCTTGAGGTGAGTTTCAGACTGCTATAGCCTAATGACAGGTAAAACAGAGGTCAAGATAATTTTATCTAGAAGAATTAATTACTTGAAAATACAAACTCTCAAATGTCTTCTAGAGACTAGACAGGGATTCATTTTTGATACGATGTTTGATTTACATGTTGAACCTTGATTTTGCTCCATGATAGTAAAAAATCTAGTTAAAATAGTAAACAATATTAAAAATCAATTCTGGTCTGTATTTCCTATATGCCTACACTAACTGACTAGGGGAAATTAATTAAGAGGAAAGATGAATTTGACAGACGGGAACAAAATGCAGTTTTTCAAGTATAAAAGACACCTACTACTTCCCTCTCCCCCCATTACCTCATGTACTCACATACACACATACACACACTTTGGTTTTCACTCAGATCAGGGAGAGTGAGTCTCCAGCAAGAACATCCTTAGCTCTTCATTGTGAAATATTCAAAAGGTACTTGGAAGGAGATTTCTGATGCATGGTGCCTTTCCTCCCACAAGCATAGTGGACCAGTAAGGGATTGTCTGCTGTTATAAAGAACAGTCATTCACTGTCTCTTTATTTATTTATTTATTTATTTATTTATTTATTTATTTATTTATTTATTATTATTATTATACTTTAAGTTTTAGGGTACATGTGCACCACGTGCAGGTTAGTTACATATGTATACATGTGCCATGCTGGTGTGCTGCACCCGTTAACTCGTCATTTAGCATTAGGTATATCTCCTAATGCTATCCCTCCCCACTCCCCCGACCCCACAACAGTCCCCAGAGTGTGATGTTCCCCTTCCTGTGTCCATGTGTTCTCATTGTTCAATTCCCACCTATGAGTGAGAACATGCGGTGTTTAGTTTTTTGTCCCTGCGATAGTTTACTGAGAATGATGATTTCCAATTTCATCCATGTCCCTACAAAGGACATGAACTCATCATTTTTTATGGCTGCATAGTATTCCATGGTGTATATGTGCCACATTTTCTTCATCCAGTCTATCATTGTTGGACATTTGGGTTGGTTCCAAGTCTTTGCTATTGTGAATAGTGCCACAATAAACATACGTGTGCCTGTGTCTTTATAGCAGCATGATTTATAGTCCTTTGGGTATATACCCAGTAATGGGATGGCTGGGTCAAATGGTATTTCTAGTTCTAGATCCCTGAGGAATCGCCACACTGACTTCCACAATGGTTGAACTAGTTTACAGTCCCACCAACAGTGTAAAAGTGTTCCTATTTCTCCACATCCTCTCCAGCACCTGTTGTTTCCTGACTTTTTAATGATTGCCATTCTAACTGGTGTGAGATGGTATCTCATTGTGGTTTTGATTTGCATTTCTCTGATGGCCAGTGATGATGAGCATTTTTTCATGTGTCTTTTGGCTTCATAAATGTCTTCTTTTGAGAAGTGTCTGTTCATGTCCTTTGCCCACTTTTTGATGGGGTTTTTTGTTTTTTTCTTGTAAATTTGTTTGAGTTCATTGTAGATTCTGGATATTAGCCCTTTGTCAGATGAGTAGGTTGCGAAAAATTTCTCCCATTTTGTAGGTAGCCTGTTCACTCTGATGGTAGTTTCTTTTGCAGTGCAGAAGCTCTTTAGTTTAATTAGATCCCATTTGTCAATTTTGTCTTTTGTTGCCATTGCTTTTGGTGTTTTAGACATGAAGTCCTTGCCCATGCCTCTGTCCTGGATGGTAATGGCTAGGTTTTCTTCTAGGGTTTTTATGGTTTTAGGTCCAACGTTTAAGTCTTGAATCCATCTTGAATTAATTTTTGTATAAGGTGTAAGGAAGGGATCCAGTTTCAGCTTTCTACATATGGCTAGCCAGTTTTCCCAGCACCATTTATTAAATAAGGAATCCTTTCCCCATTGCTTGTTTTTCTCAGGTTTGTCAAAGATCAGATAGTTGTAGATATGCGGCGTTATTTCTGAGGGCTCTGTTCTGTTCCATTGATCTTTATCTCTGTTTTGGTACCAGTACCATGCTGTTTTGGTTACTGTAGCCTTGTAGTATGGCTTGAAGTCAGGTAGTGTGATGCCTCCAGCTTTGTTCTTTTGGCTTAGGATTGACTTGGCGATGCGGGCTCTTTTTTGGTTCCATATGAACTTTAAAGTAGTTTTTTCCAATTCTGTGAAGAAAGTCATTGGTAGCTTGATGGGGATGGCATTGAATCTGTAAATTACCTTGGGCAGCATGGCCATTTTCACGATATTGATTCCTCCTACCCATGAGCATGGAATGTTAATCCATTTGTTTGTATCCTCTTTTATTTCCTTGAGCAGTGGTTTGTAGTTCTCCTTGAAGAGGTCCTTCACATCCCTTGTAAGTTGGATTCCTAGGTATTTTATTCTTTTTGAAGCAATTGTAAATGGGAGTTCACTCATGATTTGGCTCTCTGTTTGTCTGTTGTTGGTGTATAAGAATGCTTGTGATTTTTGTACATTGATTTTGTATCCTGAGACTTTGCTGAAGTTGCTTATCAGCTTAAGGAGATTTTGGGCTGAGACAATGGGGTTTTCTAGATATACAATCATGTCGTCTGCAAACAGGGACAATTTGACTTCCTCTTTTCCTAATTGAATACCCTTTATTTCCTTCTCCTGCCTAATTGCCCTGGCCAGAAATTCCAACACTGTGTTGAATAGGAGTGGTGAGAGAGGGCATCCCTCTCTTGTGCCAGTTTTCAAAGGGAATGCTTCCAGTTTTTGCCCATTCAGTATGATATTGGCTGTGGGTTTGTCATAGATAGCTCTTATTATTTTGTGATATGTCCCATCAATACCTAATTTATTGAGAGTTTTTAGCATGAAGTGTTGTTGAATTTTGTCAAAGGCCTTTTCTGCATCTATTGAGATAATCATGTGGTTTTTGTCTTTGGTTCTGTTTATATGCTGGATTACATTTATTGATTTGCATATATTGAACCAGCCTTGCATCCCAGGGATGAAGCCCACTTGATCATGGTGGATAAGCTTTTTGATGTGCTGCTGGATTCGGTTTGCCAGTATTTTATTGAGGATTTTTGCATCAATGTTCATCAAGGATATTGGTCTAAAATTCTCTTTTTTGGTTGTGTCTCTGCCTGGCTTTGGTATCAGGATGATGCTGCCTCATAAAATGAGTTAGGGAGGATTCCCTCTTTTTCTATTGATTGGAATAGTTTCAGAAGGAATGGTAGCAGTTCCTCCTTGTACCTCTGGTAGAATTCAGCTGTGAATCCATCTGGTCCTGGACTCTTTTCTGTTGGTAAGCTATTGATTATTGCCACAATTTCAGATCCTGTTATTGGTCTATTCAGAGATTCAACTTCTTCCTGGTTTAGTCTTGGGAGGGTGTATGTGTCGAGGAATTTATCCATTTCTTCTAGATTTTCTCATTCACTCTCTAAGGAACCTTTCCCCCAATCAAATCTGCATCTTGGACCTTAAAATAAGACTGTCCCTGAATGGTACTGTCTGAAAGATAGGTGTGTCAGCTGCCATACAGGAATGGGAGTATAATGTGAGGGCTTGGTTGACACTGATAGTTAATGTGTGTGTGTGTGTGTGTGTCTGTGTGTAGATAGTAAATTCAAGCATACATTTACCAAAGCAAAAGTGCTGCATTGTGGAGAAAGAGCAGTATTTTTCACAGTAGTGTGTAAACTATAAATTTGTTAATTTGTTGCTACATCCCCACAATGCCTGTTATGGATTCCTACATTAAGATTTTTATCATGTTTCTGTATAGTAGTCAAATGCTCAATACTTCTTTTGGCTTTCTGCACTCCCTCAGAGATAGCAGGTAGACAAAACATTGATCCCTAACGAGATAGAAAGTTGAAAGTGAGATTTCTGCAAAAACTACAACACTTAACAAAAACATTCAAATCCCAGTAAAGGTGAGTGCTAGAAACATTTCAATATATACATAGGACCAGAAATACCTTAAGGAAGTTTCAAAGAGTCTTTTATCATCCAAACTACTGAATGGAGGAAAAATGTGTCTCTTGAGATCACTACTCAATGAAGAGGTTTGTAGTTTGAATTTGTACTACGTGTGTGATACAGGAATACCTAGGCTGAGAAATTCTGGTCCAAACGTTTTTCTAGAAGGCCAGTGATACTTCTGGGATACAAAATCAGTCTAAAGGGACTCTTCCTAAAACAGGCTACAGGTTATTTTATCAAAAAAAAAAAAAATTCCCTTCTGAAAATTATAAGTAGAAAATGGCAAAACTGATGACAAAATAAGAAACTGTAAGTGAAACTAAGCAGGCACAAAAATAGTAAAATTATACTTGAAGTTTAAAATCCAAAGACTATAAAAATACCTTTGGCCAAAATTATTAAAAATAGAAAGTAAGTTTTAAAGTGACATATGAAAAGAAAAGGGCATTGTGAAAATAGAATGGATATATAATGAAAAAGAAAAAATATATAATTCTTATGAACAAAATATAGAGCCATTACAATTTTTTTAAATACTCCAGTGAATGAGTTAAGCTGCATATTAAACATTTGAAAAGAGACTAACTATGCAACAATATAAGGAAATTATACAGAATGCACTGGGGGAAAACAGTTCCAAAAAAAGAAAGAATGTAAAAATTAAAGAGGAAGAAAAAATAATTTAAGAAAATGTCCCGTAAATGTAGGGTATGCACATCTACATAGAAAGGGTAAACAGCTCCAATAAGATTATCATACATGAAAAAGTCTGATATCACCCTGAGTGAGTGAACTATATAAATCAATATAGTTATTTTGGAGGTCAATCTGTAAGTTCTAGGAAGATTGGCAATGTGAGGGTTAAACAAGTTAATTAATGCCAGTTATTGCAACAGTGTTCAAATCCCATAACAAGTCTTACACAAATGTTCCTCATAGGACTACACTCCTGGTAGCTCTCCTACATAGTGTGACAAAGGACACTTGGCATCTGTATCCTGTGGCTCCTCCAACACAGAGTGCTTCTAGTCTAGCTGCACAGATGGAGAATACAGTACGGAAGGTCACACAGGAAGTTCCTGGAGTGAGGCCAGGAGGTGGCATATAAAAGCTCTGCATACATGCAACTGGCAGAACCAAGCCATGTGCTTCTAATGGGAGACAGTACAGCAACAGAAAACAAGATTAGTTTTCATCGAAATAGCTTCTTGGTGCATTGTTTTCCATGATCTCTGGATGTACTTACTGTTCATTATTCAAGAAGTGTGGGTGCATGCCCTTTTGTAGTCTTAACAACCAGAAAACTTACCCCCTCTTCATGGAAGTTTGGTAGCTCAAAAGAAGTTTAACTCTTGAAGCTGCAAATGCAATGTTTTTAGTCCAGAGTTTGAAGATTCTTCAAAAATACAGCTTCCTCAAAAACTCCATAAACTTCTGATCTCTTTGCTTATAGTTATTCAGTGTGCCAGTATCTAGTAATGTTTATTCTTTTTTTTCCCTCTCTTCCTCTCTCTTTACATTTTGTCTATCTTGAAAAACAATTGGTTGGGAAGCCCAGCTGTTGATTTTATCATTAGCCTAAATAATTTTATTAAACTGATAAAATTAGGGCCTTACTAGTTAAAAATATATCTAAATTCCAACTCCTCTTATTAAGAACATGGAGATGGTAGGCTTTTCCAACCTTGCAAGACTCCATAGTTTTAGGGTAACTCTTCAGTTACTTCCTGTAAATCAGCCACTTCATTGCTATGATCATATTTTACTTGTAATAAAATCAATAGTAGCCAGTCCACGTGCACAGAAGTTTCTTTTTTCCATCTACCTCCCCTACACACACAAGCTAAGTCAGAACATGAGCAGCTGTCCAAGTTTCTGAAGGCAACAATTGTACTAAAAGCTTTGCCAACACAGATCCCCAACTCCCCAGGCTTTGTTAACAGTATCCTTGTTACCTAGACTTTCATTAGGGCAGTCTCTCATCCTAAAGTGCCAATTATGTACTAGTTAGCATAAATAATGCTAGCTGCTCTGCAACCCCCAAATCTCAGTGACTTAAATGCCAAAAAAATGTGGATATCTTCGATCAGGCAACTCTCCTGGGAGGTCTACTCTTAAGTGGCTGTTGAGTGGCACACGCTTCTTCAATTTGGTGGCCTTGCCATGTTGGTCTTTTGCTTTCCACTGTGGGGATGAGGGAGTAAAAGCACAGAGGCTCCAGAGGCATTTTACAAGTCACTCACATTTCTCTGTCAGAACTTTGTCATGTGACTTCAATCTAAATATGAGAAAGGCTGAAAATGTAGTCTTTGTGTAGCTCTAGAAAGACAGAATTTGTTTATCTTCTGACCCCCCTATTTTTTTCATAGATATCTAATCTAGAGACTTTTTACTGGTGTATAAAGTGAAACATGAATGAGGATTTTTTGCAGTACAGTTTGTAGGGACAAAACTTGGAAGCGATATTTTCATTAATAACAGCATTGATTGATAACCTATTTTATTCAGAAAATGAAATACATATTAATTGAAATTAATGCAACTGATATACATGTATCAACTTGCTGAAGTTTAAAATACAAGAGCAAAAATTTTGCAAAAGGACATTTAAGTATATTTGAAAGCACATTAAATTTATATTATGAGTTGTTAATAATTGCATACCTATCTATTAAAAGAAATTTAAAACATGTTCTACGGATTAAATAGTGTCCCCACAAAATCATGTTCATCCAGAACCTCAGAATGTCACCTTACTTAAAAACAGGGTCATTGCAAGTGTACTTAGTTAAGATGAGGTCATACTGAATTAGGGTGGTTCCTAATCTATGTTGAGTGTTCTTCCTTACAAGAAGATCATGGGAAGACACAGAGATACAGACACATGAGGGTGATGGCCATGCTATGTCAGAGGCAGCGATTGAGGTGATCTCAATCTCAAGTCCTTGGCATCTATAAGCCAAGGTAATACCAAGGGATGCTGTTAACCACCGGGAGATTAGAGAGAGGCATAGGACAGATACTTCTCAGAGCCGCCAAAAGAAACCAACGCTGTTGACACCTTGATTTTGTATTTCCGCCCTCCTGAACTGTGGAAGAATACATTTTTGTTGTTTGAATCACCCAGTTTTTGATAATTTGCCTTGGCAGCCCTAGGAAACTGATACAAATACCTAAGAGCATATATACTTCAGCATGAGGACACTTCTGTGCAACGAGGTGGTGAAAAGTAAAGAGAACGTCTTTTAAGGTGGATCAGAAATACCAACTTCTGAGAAAAAAGTCAACCAAGGGCAAATACAGCCATGTGTAAATATCTGTTAGATATAGGTGTTGAGTACATTGGCATGTTACTTTTTTATACCTTTTCCTATTTACCTAATATTTAAATTTTTTAAAAAAAATTAAAAATCATCAAGCAGTAACAAGACATCATAAACATATGGTACAATATCAAACACTTAACAATAATAAAATATCTCCATAAGCAGATTTCTTTATCAGCTTATCTTTTAAAAGCCTACAACTATTACCTCTATTTTTTCATTTTACTTTAAGTTCTGGGATACACGTGCGGAACATGCAGGTTTGTTACATACGTATAGATGTGCCATGGTGGTTTGCTGCACCTATCAACCAGTCATCTAGGTTTTAAGCCCCACATGCTTTAGGTATTTGTACTAATGCTCTCCCTCCCCTTGGCCCCCACCCCCTGACAAGCCCTGGTGTGTGATGTTCCCCTCGCTGTGTCCATGTGTTCAAACTGTTCAACTCCCACTTATGAGTGAGAACATTCGGTGTTTGGTTTTCTGTTCCCGTGTTAGTTTGCTGAGAATGATGGCTTCCAGCTTCATCCATGTCCCCGCAAAGAACATGAACTCATTCTTTTTTATGGCTGCATAGTATTTCACGGTGTATATGTGCCACATTTTCTTTATCCAGTCTATCATTGATGGGCATCTGGGTTGGTTCCAAGTCTTTGCTATTGTGTATATTGCCACAATAAACATACATGTGCATGTGTCTTTATAGTAGCATGATTTATAATCCTTTGGGTATATACCCAGTAATGGGATCACTGAGTCAACGGTATTTTTAGTTCTAGATCCTTGAGGAATCGCCACATTGTCTTCCATAGTAGTTGAACTAATTTACACTCCCACCAACAGGGCAATAGTGTTCCTATTTCTCCACATCCTCTCCAGCATCTGTTGTTTCCTGACTTTTTAATAATCACCATTCTTTGTTTTACATTTCTCTAATGATCAGTGATGATGAGCTTTTTTTCATATGTTTGTTGGCCACATAAATGTCTTCTTTTGAGAAGTGTCTGTTCATATCCTTTGCTCACTTTTTGATGGGGTTGTTTTTTTTCTTGTAAATTTGTTTAAGTTCCTTGTAGATTCTCGATATTTGACCTTTGTAAGATGGGTAGATTGCAAAATTTTCTCCCATTCCGCAGATTGCCTGTTCATGCTTGTGCTAGTTTATTTTGTTGTGCAGAAGTTCTTTAATTTGATTAGATCCCATTTGTCAGTTCTGGCTTTTGTTGCCATTGCTTTTGGTGTTTAAGTCATGAAGTCTTTGCCCATGCCTATGTCCTGAATGGTATTGCTTAGGTTTTCTTCTAGGGTTTGTATGGTTTTAGGTCTTATGTCTAAGTCTTTAATCCATTTTGAGTTAATTTTTGTATCAGGTCTAAGGAAGGGGTCCAGTTTCAGTTTTCTGCATATGGCTAGTCAGTTTTCCCAGCACCATTATGAAATAGCCCTCATGGAGAACATCTGCTAGGGCAGTGCAGAAGATAAATGTGGTGTTGGAGCCCCCCCACACAGTTCCTACTGGGGCACTGCCTAACAGAGCTGTGAGAGGAGGGCCACCATCCTCCAGGCCCCAGAATTGTAGATCCACAGACAGCTTTCACTGTGCACCTGGAAAAGCCACAGACACTCAATGCCAGCCCATGAAAGCAGCCAGTAGGGCAGATGTACCCTGCAAAGCCACAGGGGTGGAACTGCTGAAAGGCCTGGGAGCCCACCTCTCGTGTCAGCGTGACCTGAATGTGAGACATTAATTCAAAGGAGATTATTTCTGAGCTTTAAGATTTAATGACTGCCCTATTGAATTTTGGACTTGCATGGATCCTGTAGCCCCTTTGTTTTGGCCAATTTCTCCCATTTGAAAGGGATATAGTTACCCAATGCCTGTCCCCCATTGTATGTAAAAAGTAACCAACTTGCTTTTGATTTTACAGGCTCATAGGTAGAAGGGACTTGTCTTGTATCAGATAAGACTTTGAACTTGGACTTTTGAGTTAATGCTGAAATGCGTTAAGACATTGGGGGACTGTTGGGAAGGCATGATTGTGTTTTGAAATGTGAGGACATGAGATTTGGTGAGGGTCATGGGCAGAATGGTATGGTTTGGCTGTGTCTCCACCCAAATCTCATCTTGAATTGTAATTCCCGTAATCCCCATGTGTTGGGGGAGGGACCCAGCGAAAGGTAATTGAGTCACGGGGATGGTTACTTCCATGCTGTTTTCATGATAGTGAGTGAGTTCTCACAAAATCTGATGGTTTTATAAAGGTTTTCCTCCCACTTTGCTCTGCACTTCACCTTCCTGCGGTCATATGCAGTAGGACATGTCTGTTCCTCTTCTGCTATGATTGTAAGTTTCCTGAGGCCTTCCCAGCCCTGCATAACTGTGAGTCAATTAAACCTCTTCTCTTTATAAATTACCCAGTGTTGGGCAGTTCTTTATAGAGATGTGAGAAATAACTAATACAGATGGTATCTCATTATGGTTTCAATTTGCATTTTTCTGATGATTAGTGATGATCATTTTCTCATGTTTGTTGCTGCTTATATGTCTTCCCTCAAGAAGTGTCAGTTCATGTCTTTATAGAGTCCAGATATTAGACCTCCCTCAGATGCATAGTTTGTGAATATTTTCTCCCATTTTGTAGATTATCTGTTTACACTGTTGATAGTTTCTGTTGCTGTGCAGAAGCTCTTTAGTTTAATTAGGTCCTACATGTCAATTTTTGTTTTTGTTACAATTGCTTTTGAGGACTTAGTTATAAATGATTTCCCAAGGCCTATGTCCAGAATGGTGTTTCCAAGGCTTTCTTCAGGATTCTTACAGTTTGAGGTCTTACATTTAAATCTTTAATCCATCTTGAGTTAATTTTTGTATATGGTGAAATGTAGGGGTACAGTTTCATTCTTCTGCAAATGGCTAGCCAGTTATCCCAGCACCATTTATTAAATAGGAAGTGTTTCTTCATTGCTTATTTATGTTGATTTTGTTAAAGATTGGGTGGCTATAGATGTGCACCTTTATCTGGATTCTCCATTCTGTTCCATTGGTCTCTGTGCCTATTTTTGATCCAGTACCATGCTGTTTCATTTACTGTAACCTTGTAGTATAGTTTGAAGTCAGGTAATGTGATGCCTCTGGCTTTGTTCTTTTTTTCCTAGGATTCCTTTGGCTATGTGGGCTTTTTTTTCTTTTTGATTCTATATAAATTTTAGATTAGTTTTTTCCAGTTCTGTGAAAAAAATGACATTGGCAATTTGATAGAAATAGTATTGAACTATAGATCGCTTTGGGTAATATGACCATTTTAGTGGTATTGATTCTTCCAGTACATGAGCATGATTTTTTTTCGATTTGTTACCATCATCTATGATTTCTTTTTGTAGTGTTTTGTAGTTCTCCTTGTAAAGATCTTTTATCTCTTTGGTTAGATGTATTCCTAAATATTTTACTTTTTGTTTGGCTGTTGTTGCTGGGATTGTGTTCTAGATTTGGCTCTCAACTTGAACATTACTGGTATATAGAAATGCTACTGACTTTTATACATTGATTTTGTATCTTGAAACTGCTGAATTTGTTTATTAGTTCCAGGAACCTTTTGGTAGCATTTACAAATAATTTTTCTAAGTAAATCAGTTTAAAACAAGATACAAAATTTCACAGTTAAATCTGAAAAAAATGTTATATTACCAAATAAAATATAAATCATGGTAAATTACTTTGTTTTACCTCATATTTATTCAAATTAATCATATAATTTCAAACTATAATCATATAATAAGGTATGAATTATTGTAGATTTATAATTTTTGACAAAATTATATGACATCATGAAGTTCATACTTAACATTTGACTTTCACAGTCCAGTCATAAAGAGTGTCATTTTTAAAAAAGAAAAGTATTGATACATGTTATCAATTTCCCCAAGGAACTCTGTTTGTCCCTTAGACATGCAAATTAGTCTCTATAGAAGAACCAGTTCTACTTGTCAATTTTCTATTCTTTTTTAATCAATGGATTGAACTAATCCATATTCTTATCAACATCACTTATATTGACTTCATGAAATCTTTCATCTGTTTAAAAATTTCAGTTGTAATTGCAGTCAATTTGTATCACATTTAAATTATATAATGGGATAGTTTACAACATCTAATAAACAAAAAATAATAACTTACAAAGACATGCCATAATGATTGAGTATATGTAACTACTCCTGTGAACCAATAAGATACTTAAAAACAGACTAATTTGGCCAGGTGTGGTGGCTCACCCCTGTAATCCCAGCACTTTGGAAGGCTGAGGTGGGCAGTTCATTTGAGGTCAAGGAGTTCGAAACCAGCCTGGCCAACATGGTGAAACTGTGTCTCCACTAAAAATACAAAAATTAGCCAGGCATGGTAGTGAACACCTGTAATCCCAGCTACTCAGGAGGCTGAAGCAGGAGAATGCTTGAGCCTGGGAGGTGGAGTTGCAGTGAGCAAAGTGAGACTGCTTTAATTAAATCTCCTGAGAACAAATGTCAACTCTCATTTAATAAAGATGGTGCATTTTGTTTATGTTTTTTGTTTTGCTTTATTACACCTGGCTTATTTGAGCCACTTGCCAGGTCCATGTAGACAATTTGAGGTTGTGCCTCTGACTTGAAAGCAGAATATTGATGTATTGAGAACAGTGACAAAGTGACTTCAAACCATAACATCAGCCAACCCAAAATTATCTTTAAATAATGCTGTTATGGATTGCACTGTGTCCCTCAAAATTCACATGTTGAAGTTCTAATCCCCAGTATTTCAGGATGTGATCTTATTTGGAGATAGGATCTTTATAGAGATAATCAAATGAAAATAAAATGATTAGAGTGTGCTCTAATCCAATATGATTGGTGTCATAAAAGGGGGAAATTTGGAGGCATGTGTGCACACTGGGAGAATGTGAGGTGACCATGAAGGCAATGAACGAGTGATATTTCTACAAGCCCAGGAACACCAAAAACTGCCAGCAACATACCAGAAGCAGGAGAGAGGCATGGAACAGATTTTCCCCTCACAGCTCTCAAGGCAAACCAACCCTGATGACCTTGATTTCAGTCTTCTAGCCTCCAGAACCACGAGGCAATAAGTTTCTGTTGTTTGAGCCATTCTGTGAGATGTTCTTTATGGCAGTTCTAGCAAACTAATAATACAAATGTTTTGCATTAAGCTTCAAAATACACTAGATTTTGTTTAAAGGTGGAAATAATTTATCTTCCTTTTTGGATCACAGGTTCAGACTAGGACAGTGTCTCATCCATTTCTAAATAAATGGAAACTCCATTAATTCCATCAGACATCAAGATAATCATTTAGTAAGACACGTTTCCATGGCACAAAGGAGGGAACGTGATGAAGCCAGCCACAATCACTCCATGCTCAAAAAGTGTCAAGGCGGCTCTGTCCTGTTCTGGAACTTACGACCCGCACATGCTGAGCTAGCTTCTTCTGGGGTGCCAGCTGCTCTCCTGTTCAGGAGACACGCTTGCGTTAACTCTTTCAGGTCTCTAGTGTACAACTAAGAGTAATTCACCAGTTTGGAATTTGCTAAGACTAGTCCTAAATTGTACTAAATAATACCCAAAGGGTTTGAAGTAGTTAATGTAGCTTCCAGATCCCAAGAATCTCTCTACAATGACAGCCTGCTCAGGCAGCATCCTCTGGGAAAAGCAGAGAAATACACTCTCAGGAAAATGGTGGCTACTTTATGATTCTGGCTTCTAACTAACAGAAAAACACAAAAATTATTTATGTGGCCATCCCTGGAAACAATATGGATAAGTTTATTCCACTTATTATTGTTTATTATACAGTAAGGGAAAGGAGGGTTATATAGACAATAGTAAATGCAAAAATTACATTAACCTCAGAAAGCCTAAAAAACATATATACTGATTTTAACCTTCCTCAACCCTTAAATCCGTGCATCCACCACTAGATGCCTTGTGTCCTCATGCTCCCATCTTCTTTCTTTAAATCTGCTGCAGGGATTACGCTCACTTTGCTAGAGAGTAGAGTATTCATAGTGGCTTCAAGTTACTCTCAAGAAACATCCATAAGTGAATGAGGAAAGGAGGAGAGTGAGGGGAAGAAGCTAGAAAAAGATGTGATTTTAGGGGAAGTCAAACTCAGCCTGATGCCCTAGGGAGCTCTGGAGCATGAGTTGCATCACATTTTCTACTGCCCAAAGCAAGGAGGCTAAACTGTCACATCCCTACATTGGTTAATTAATGGCTGCATCTCATCCCCAGAGTGGGAGTGCATAACCTTCCAGGGATCACCAGGCAAGGCTGCACCTGGCAGCCCAAGACAATCCTCCAGAGATGTGTGCATCTGAGAGGCATCAGCAGTGAACACTGGCAGCAGCCAGGGATGGTGCTTCAACGTAGCCAGGGGGAACTGGGCAGGGCATAAACAGACTCTGACATAATCCTCAACACCTGAATGACTTATTGTAGATGCATTAAAACATAGCTTAATGCGTGGCTTAATGATGTATTGAGAAGAGTGTGATGTATTGAGAAGAGACATACCCATGTCTGACTGCCCTTTAATAAGATCTCCAATAAGATCATCAATCTACTCTTCAGGATTTAATTCTTATTGAGAAGACAGGGTATTTTTATGAAAAAGGTAAACAGTGAAAATAGATTTCTATTTTAGCATAACTTATTATAATAAATCTGACAACCTTTGGAATGGATTACAACAAAATCCTTTATCTTTGGGTTTATCTCTCATGGGTTTATGTATTACACATAAAGAAATAGAAATGTTTAACACGAGTTTTCCTCATGATGAAAGCAATAAAGAACATTCAAATTCAAGCTACAGAAAAAATAATTTAAATGAGTTTGATATTTTTGAAGGTTGGAAATGATCTTATGAAAACTTAGACATGAACATTCAATGTAGTAAGAATTATCTTACAAAAATGTGCCAAATACCAAAAAGGTGTTGAAGAATGTTTTACCTGAAGTAAAATGTGAATGTATTTTCCATCATTTATTCCTCTTCCTTTTCTCAAACATCACAGTATCTCAAGTCCCATAATAAATTTGCCCTGTAGGAGACATACCATAAAAACATTCCTCTCTCCTGTAGTATAAACTAAGATATACACCAGATATTTGCAGAAAATTATCTTACAAGGTAGCATTTTGGGGTAGAATTAAATGTTAAGGTTAGTCAAATATCACTTGATAGCCAAGTGCATTTGAGTGGTTTTGTCAGAGGGGTTTGAACCAGAGTGACTCTATCTTGAATAGGGGCTGGGTAAAATAAGGCTGAGACCTGCTGGGCTGTATTCCCAGGAGGCTGGACATTCTAAGTCGCAGGATGACATAGGAGGTTGGCACAAGATACAGGTCATAAAGACCTTGCTGATAAACAGGTTGTAGTAAAGAAGCTGGCCAAAACCCATCAAGACCAAGATGGCTATGGGTGTGACCTCTGGTCATCCTCACTGCTCATTACATGATAATTATAATACATTAGCATGCTAAAAGACACTCCCACCAGTGCCATGACAGTTTACAAATGCCATGGCAATGTCAGGAAGTTACCCTTATATAGTCTAAAAAAGGGAGGCATGAATAATCCACTCCTTCTTTAGCATATAATCAAGAAATAACCATAAAAATGGGCAACCAGCAGCCCCCAGGGTTGCTCTGCCTATGGAGGAGCCAGTCTTTATTCCTTTACTTTCTTAATAAACTTGCTTCCACTTTATGGATTCGCCTGGAATGTCTTCTTGTGTGAGATCCAAGAACCCTGTCTTGGAGTCTGAATTAGGACCTTTTTTTGGTAACAGTTTGGCTTATGTCTTGGAGAGTTATCAAATTCATAATTCTTGAAGAAAAAATTTAAAAAATTATAATTACATGGTTGTTCACGATAGATGTGTCCTATAATTCACAATTTTCCTCTGTTTACCATTAAGAATGCTTCTGATGGTTACTCATTCTTAGTTTCACAGAAAATAATGATAACTAAATGCTGTCATGAATTTACCTCTCCAAAAGAATTGGTATTTATTTGTAGAATGTGAGACCAGTGATTGAAAACCTGTGTGATAGATTGTTGGCAACACCTTATATTCAGGAACTTATTAGTTAGTTGAAAGAAAATAAACAATTATGATAAAGATTCTGATCTGTCCCCTGACATGCAAAGCCACATGCATGCATGAAAATTTAGTATTTTCAAGGAAGAGTATTTTTCCTCTTGCTTGGGATCCCAACATTGATTTCTATGTATTCTGGCAAAATAACCTGAAGCAGTATTTCCAAAGTACTACACTCCAGATAAGAGAAGCCTTCCATACCAATGATGCTTACAGGCCACAGTCAACTTTCCTTGACGGCTAGGTGCTGAATCAGACCTGTAGTCTGAAATATGATGATTTAAAAGCAATTTAAGGATCTTACAGTTTATGCTTATGGTCATATAGGTCACTCTTTCCCTGGCGTTCATCATTTCAAATATCAAAAAATAAGGCTGCAAAATCAGATGAAAAATTCAAGAACACAAAGTTCAGTCATGAGCAGAACAAGCAATTACCAGCATTAGGAAGGCAAGCTTCAGAGTTATCTTTTGATTATTACCGAGAGAATATCTATGGAATTGAAATGACTTTCAGAGAAAGGCTGATAAACTGACTGAGAATGAATCAAGCTAAGACATGCTAAGATTTAAGGTAATGTGGTCAAATTCTTTACCAAATTTTTAGAAATTTTAGGTACAAATTCTTTATGTCCTTAAAGTAGTTTCCTTAGTCAACTATGCATCTATTCCAATGACACTGGTATTTTTTCCTTTTAAAAAAGTTTGGGACAACTCCAGCTGCTTTGGGGTCTTTGATATCCTTTACTGATAGTAAATTATTACTTATAAGAGTGTTTTTCATTTTTAGAAACTGTAAAAAGTCATTGAGATACAAGTGTAGTGAGTAAGAAGAAAAATCACAATCGGCAAATGCAAACAGAGACACATATTAAAAAGCTACAAATACTGATTGTCAGGCATGTAGAATATATCATAAAATTTTACAGATATAATAAATGTATATGCTTTGATATGTCTTAGAGATTCTTAATTCTCTAAAGATTTCGGGAAATTGCCACTCAGAGTGCTTCCTATGGCTTGAGAATCCCTTTGAGAATCCCAGATGTATCCACTGCCATGAAATAAGGAGGTCAGAAAAATATTTCTTTCTGCAATTACATTATCTTCATTAAAATTACCTCACTGCCTCCAGAAATGAGTTGTGGACTGTGGTCTTGATGACATAGTTGCCTGTCTCATCACAATTAGTTGTGACCAGCCTCTTTCAATCTCTATCTTTCACAGATATGAATCATGGGTTCACAGGCTACATTAACTCTAGTCCAAGAAAAACAAGTTAACCTTTGTGGTGGGAGGTGGCCTTGCTCAGTTAGTGGAGGGCATATTCGCAAGTAATGAAAATAAAATGTCAAGATATCAATAGGCTTTGTAACTATTATAGATGAGTGACTCTCTCTTATTAGACATGTCTGGAAATGATTTGTCTTCAGTAATATAGAAGGATTATGGTGTGCCAGTAAACGATGTTGTTGAGAATAACTTAAAAAAAATGGTTGTTCCCCTTGGAAATTCAATGCATGATGCTGGAGAAAAATATAATATCTGCCCAAATGTTAGTTCTATTTTAAAAGTAACCTTTGTAGAGCAAGGAGACCCTTATACTTTGTCATTCAGATAAAGCTTCATGTTCCAGTGGTGAACCTGCAAAATTCAAATAAGAGTTTAGGCTTTTGGGGTACATATTATCGCTTTATAGAAGAGTGTGTGTTCATGTATCTTCCTGTATTTGTGTGTGTGAGAGAGAGAAAGTAAACTTTCAAAATTGTACTGTTAATATGCCTTTAGAAATCAGCGAGATAAAAACATATTTTAATATAAAGAAGGTATTTATTTTCTTTTTCTTTTTTTCCCTTGAAGCATACTCAACTTTACTCAGTTATGAGTACTGAAAGTTGAATCCCAGTTCAAGTTTCCTTTATGGGTTTATTTTCTAGTGTCCAAGAAGACACAGAAGAAAAGCATTGTCACTATATAACAACTTACTGTGCATTTAACAGGTAGAAATGAAAGTTAACTTTTGCCAATCTCTGTTTATTTGATTTCTTTCTGACTGCCAAACTGAGTTCTTAAGAGAACATATCTTTAATTTTAGTCATGTAGAGTCAATTAACCATAATGTGTCCTTGCAAAATATAGAAGTAAAATATGCCTCCCGGTACATATAAATGGCTTACGATAAAGTGGCCTACACTGATGAACACTAAGCATAGCACTGGAATTAGTCAATGGCCTGTAGTTTAAATACCATGATACACTTGGTCAAAGCGTGCTTCTTTGAGAGAAAAGTATATGGTATCATGTTTTCCATTTAGAGAACTTCAAGAAGAACAATTATTAGCCTAGTTTACCATTAGATCCATAATTCATTTTATATGTATATCAATAAGAAAGGGATTCCGGGGCTAGGCAGAAAATGCAGATGAAGGGGATGATACATAAGAAAAAAAACCCTTTCCTCCATTTGTTGGGACCCCAAGATACTGTGATGATAAGATCAGACTTTGCAATCATGAGTTTTAATACTAATTCTTCTAACTTCTAGCAATGTCTCTTTAGGCAAATTATGTGACCTTTCCAAGTTTCAGTTCTCTAACTTTAAAAATAAGAATAGTAAAATAAATTTATGATATTACTATGAGCATTAAATCAGAAAATGCATTTTAAAGAGTTTCACACAGAGGGGACACTCAACTAATATAATTGTTCCTTTTCCTTTTTCTTTCCACCTTTTTCTTATTTAACTTCACAGGGAGAGAAGCAGTATACATAGCCATTAGAACAAAGATTCTCAAGCCAATATGCCTGGATTTGGTTATTATTCTGCGATTTAATATCTACATGACTTTTGGTAGCTCTATGCCTAATTTTTCTCTGCAGTAAAATAGAAATCAAAAGGACCTAATTTTTAGGGATATTGTGAAAAATAATTAATATATAAAAATCATTTAAACATGCCCGACACATTATAAGCACTAAATGAGTGTTAACTATTATTTTTACAAATAGAAGGGAAAACAATAAATTCTAAGATATTACAGGCTTCTATTGAAAATATCCTGGGTTGTTATACTTAATCCACACATATTCCTCTAACGCCTACACAAATTGCACTTGAAACATAGTAATCATGATTGCAGTCAAGGGCAATTCTTAACATTATTCTCCATTTTTCCAGCAAATGTCCTAGATCAGCCTTGAAAGTATAGCATTCCTCCTTATTATTCCTGGGATCCCATATCACCACCCATCTCAAACTTCACATTCTAGTGAAAAAGTGAAAAATTAACCAAACAGCAATATTATTTCAGAAAATAAGGTAAAGAAATGTTAACATATAACATTAGGGGCATTTGGAAAAGAGGAGAGAAAATGATATTTCTGACAAACAGCCCTGGTTTTGAGGAGTAGGTAGGTACTTAAGTAAGCAATTAGGGTAAATAGGTTAGTTTGATGGAGATGCTGGAAAAAAAAAAATAAAATGTCTTGAGTGCATACTTAATATACCCAAAATTGTGTCATTAATTCTGAGCTCTTAGCCATATGTGGAACCAGACAATTGAATTATGTTTGATTTCATTCTATTTTTAAATTACTCTTACAAATATTAAATTTTCAAGGCTTAGAAGTTTTATCTTTCTTATTGACTACTGTACCCCAGGGACATAGAATAGTGCCTGGCAAAACCAGGAGACACTATTTATCGAATACATGCACAGATAGATGACTGGCTGGATGGATGAATAGATTCTCCTTAGGTCATACTCATGAAACATTTATGGCCTCAACTCTTCTATCATGAGTACCTCTTATTTTTGTTCTATATGATAAAAACAACAAAAATTAGTATTACCATAAATAGATACCATCATTAAGTATAGTAGGGAGGCTTAGAGTTCCTATGGAAACATTCATTCTTGTGTTTCCATAGTGACATTTGGTGGAAAGCTGTTATTTATTCAGATAATTTTGCTTTCCTGTCTAGTCCTGACCTAAGCTCTGAAATATTAAGATTATACCATTTCCTCTGATGTAAGAAAGGGAAAAGAGGAAAAGGACATAAGAATATGAACGCCTACACATTATAATAAACAGTAACTCACTGTCTTTTTCTGTTTTTGTTAAATAAACAAGTATAAGACACAGACATTAATTAGAATATTAAATTTCACTATAATTTATTCTGTGCCTCCATTAAATTATTTTATTAAACATAATGGACCAATTACCCACAGATTTCTTCTTATATAGAACCAATATTTATTGCTGAAATTGATGTTCACAAATTAGCTTTCACCAAATTTTTTATCATTAAGAAATCAAAATAGTTTAGATTTACTATGCAATCTGTAAAAACATCAATTAAAATTTTTATGGTTAATTGGCTTAAGATTTTATTAATTGTGATCAAAGAATGTGATCAAATAAATGAAATAAAATGTAAATATATTTCGATATTTTTAGAGAATGACTATTTAATTCAAAATTAATGAGACTCTGGAGTTGAGCATGTGACCATTACATGTAACAACCTTTTTATTATCAAATCTGAAAATTAGAAATAATCATAAATACTATGTAGTCCTTTAATAAAAACAAGAATTTTTAAATCCCTAATTTTTGTGATGATTCTCTATGTCCCATGTGTGCATGTACGTGCGTGTGTGTGCTTGTGTGCGTGCGCTTGTGTGCGTGTGCACATGCATGTGAGCGTGTGTGTGCTTGTGCGTGCACGTGTGCGTGTGTGTGCGTGTGTGTGTCTGTGCGCGTCCATGCACGTGTGTGTGCGTGTGTGTCCATGCACATGTGTGTGTGCATGCGCATGTGTGTGTCTGTGCCCGTGTGTGTGCATGTGCATGTGTACGTGTGTGCGTCTGCATTGCTTGTGTGCGTGTGTGTCTGCGTGTGTGTGTGTGTGTGTATGTGTGTGTGTGTTGCCAGAAGAAAATATTGGAGGAGGGGTCAACGAACAGGATTCACTGCTTCCACTTCAGTTGAAGTATTTTGCATTCATCTCTTTTAAATATTGGAACTGTGCATAAATTTCATTTAAATAAAAGTATTCTGGTTCCGAATGCCTGAAAACTAGATTTTTAGGATGATTAAGCAGGGACTGTGTCTTTTGTGTTTAACATTTTATTTCCAACACTTGGCACAATGTTCAATAAATATCTGTTGAATAAATGAAAGAGTGAGTTAACTGCTTCTTTTCTTAAATTCCCTCTATAATATTCAGATCAAGTAGTGGTCCAGCTTACTTTTTTACATTTCCAGTGACAGCAAACATACAATTTTCTAAATGAATTAATTCTGTCTTTGGTGTTTGGTTTGAAATTTCTTCCTATTGTAAGACCAACTATCTTTTACTTCTGATTTTCCTATTGCCTCTGACTTCACCTTTTCATATCACCATGACAAGTCAAAAACATTTTCGCAGAACAGAATTTTTTACAAAGAATGTTTGAAGGAAGCACAAATGTCCAGATAAAGTGTTTCCTGCCCTAGAGAAGATATTCATGGCTTAATTTATAATTTCTTCCCCATCGAATTTGCCTTGGTTGGAGTCCCTAGCAGTCTTCAAGTTCAGTGACGGATGCCATCAAGATAGCATTATCTATCCCCTTATTTGAGATACTAGGAATCCCTTTCTTTAGCACTTTTAGTACTCACACCACATTCTTGACTTGTTTTAAATGTAATGTTAAAAAAATTAATCATTCTCTTGTATTTTCATTATCTTTTCCTTTAAAAAAGATAAAAATATAAATACATAAAATTTAAATGTATATATTAGAGAAAAATAAAATGGACACACATGTATCGAGCACTCAGCTTCAGAAATAATACTTTATATTAACCTCCTCCTTTAAAAAAATCATACTTTAATAATACTTTACTATTAAATAGTATTAATAAAACTATAATAATAATACTTTATTCTTTTAACCTCCTGTGTGACCTCCCTGATAACCAATCCCTCTCTCCATCCAGTTGAGTACAATAGTGTATTAGTCTGTTCTCATGCTGCTAATTAAGGCATACCTGAGACTGGGTAATTTATAAAGGAAAGATGTTTGATTGACTCACAGTTCCACATGGCTGGAGAGGCCTCACAATCATGATGGAAGATGAAGGAAGAACAAAGGGACTTGTTACATGGCGGCAGGCAAGGAAGAGCTTGTGCAGGGGAACTCCCATTTATAAAATCATCAGATCTCATGATACTTATTCACTACCACGAGAACGGCATGGGGGAAACTGCCCCCATGGTTCAGTTATCTTCACCTGGTTCCATCCTTGATATGTGTGGATTATTACAATTCAAGGTGAGATTTGAGTGGGGACACAGCCAAACCATAGCAAACAGTACATTTTGTACAAATTATTTCCTTGCTTACCTTTATTGCTGTTCAACCTACACAGACACAAATATATATATACACGTATATATATATACGTATATATAGACGTGTATATATGTATATATATACGTGTATATATGTGTATATATACGTATATATATGTGTATATATACGTGTATATATATGTGTGTATATATACGTGTATATATATGTGTGTATATATACGTGTATATATATGTGTGTATATATACGTGTATATATATGTGTGTATATATATACGTGTATATATATGTGTGTGTGTATATACGTGTAAATATATATGTGTATATATATATAACAAATATGTATATGCAGAGACAGATGACAATTTAATTTTTAGCTTTTATCAAACTTGTATAGGAGCAAATGCTTGGGCTTCTTGCCTCAAATGGGCAACATTGAAAAGACATCTTAACTGTGGATCTTCCTATAGTATCTGCTGGAATTGTATCACAGGCCAACTTCTTACTTCTGCCCTATGTGGCTTGTCTTAAATCTCATAGGTGTTGATCTCACTGACCCTCTTCAATAAACCTGCACACAAATGTCAGAGTGTTTCTGGAAGAACACAATCAATGACAATTGGTGCCAATGTTGTACTCAAGGGGAAGACTCTAAAATGAGATGCTGAAGCTGGTCACCACCCAGGCTGCTGATAATGAGGATCCCCAACACTTGTAGCAGACAAATCACTGATTATCACTGGTATATCATAGTGGTGAATTTGTTAAACTTTCATCAGTGATGAACTCAAATGGAATACTGGTTAAACAGAACATATTAGTAGGTGCAATATCTCAGGTGTTTAAGAAGTATGAGGGAAACAGGAATCATGAGGACTATGGAATTGGATAAGTTTCTTGGGCCTATCAAGGTGTTAAAGAAGATAGCAAAAGCTGGAAGCTATGAATTGTCTACATAAGGCAAAGTGTGAAAACTAGAAAGTATTCTTCACAGCATGTAAAGAATTTCTGAGCTTCCAAGGGGGCAGAAAAGCTGAGGGTCAGTCAGAGGATTCTATTTTGAGAGGAAAAGTGTTCTGTGGAAGATTGAACTTGTAGCACTGACAGGATTTCTATAGGAACATCAGGGCTCTGCTATGCAAGAAATGGGATGCAAAGACTGGGAATGGGATATCTGTGTCAACAACCTCAGTTTCTTGAATCTCAGATTCTCCTGAATACTCTGCACCTGGTAAGTAGCTCACTCATTCTTTTTGAAGACAAGTACTCCATTCTGGCTTGAAGCCATGTCAGAGTTTTCTGCTTTTCGAGACAACATATGTCCCACTCAAGATCCTCTTCCCTACCCTGGATACTAGACCAACAACTAGAATAAAGTCATGATAAAATCTGGCCACGGAATGTCTGGGTCTGCTAAGAAAGGAAAGGGACTACATCCTCAACGGAGTCGCAAGACCTAGCCAACATGTCCCAGCAGGAATGGGGAGAGTACATAAGGGACTGGATCTTTTAGCTGGTGGAATAAGAGAGATCAAATATACCATTAGGATTTGTTGAAATGAGAGGTCTCTCCCATGCTATGGAATTAAACATCCTGGCAAACAAATATCATGAAATAGTGTGTTAATATGTTTTTAGATTGGCATAGAAAAGCTTGGAAAAAGAAATGGTTCAAACTTAGAATATTAGGAATCCAGAACTTCCATAGCAAACAGTAGAAGAGATCAAAAGGCTCAGAGATTAGAAATTCTTAAGTCATCAAATCCACCATAAAACCCAGAGAACATTCCATTCTTCTATTCACCGAAATAGCTTTTCTTTGTAGTCCAGAGCTAAAGGTAAGAGATGCTATTACAGAACTGGGTGATGTTAGCAAAGACAATGATGGGATTCTTAAACAAGGGCAGTCAGAAGGAACTCAACTATTAGAAGCAAACTGGATATAATGCTTACAGTGAATGACATGGTCAGAGTATCATCCAGGGGTATCTGGCCCTCAAAGGATTATGGAGGTAGTCAGTAGAACCCATCTCCACACTCAGGAGAGATGAACAGCCAACAAAGGTAATGTTCAATCTGGTAATACTCAGTCTGGTTTGCCTCAGTTGGGACAATGTGGAAAGGCCATCCTAGACAAAGATCCCCCTTGGGTTGGCTGAGGCTTTTGTTACAACTGCATCATGGTTCAACTTCCCTCTTACCAACTCTGCATGTCTCACTGCACATGGGTACTGTTCCCAAGAGCACTCCCTAATAAATCTAAGCACAAATGTCAAAGTTATAGTTAGTTTTCTGAGGACTCTAACCAATGATATTATTCAAGTTTATTTGAAGCTAATCCATGATGACACGTATGCCTGTAGTCTGTTCATTTTTTGCTGCCATAAAGCATTCTGTCAGATGATTGATAGTCAGTTTCTTTAACTCTATGGTTTGTGGACATCTAAGTTGACTATAGTATTTTGCAATAATAAACAAAGTTGTAATGAGCATTCTCCTTCGTGTCTCTTGGGTCACATATGAGAGACATTCTAGGACTGTATTCCTCAAACCTAACTGTACATACCAATCATGAAAAGAGCTACTAAGAAATACTGATGTTTGCACAATCATTTATAAGAGTCTTGAATTAGTTGCTCTTTGGTGAAGTCACAGAATAAATATATTTCGAAGGTTCTCCAAATGACTTTCATGGAATTGTCAAAGAATTGTAGATAAAGTTTCATAATTACTGACTCACGTATGTTTAGTTTTATATAATAATAAATTGTGTTCCATTTACACTTGCTCCAGTAATATATTGGAGTTCCCATTGATCCATACCCTTGTCCACATGTGGGATTTTCAGACTTTTTAAATTTGAGTGACTTGTAGCATTTAAATAGTGTCTATTTATGTTTTAATTTTTAGTTGGTGATGACTAATGAAGTTGAGTTTCCTGTTTTCTTTAAATTCAATTTTTTGCTTTGGCATATGCTTATACTGGTTTGTCTTTATAAGTCATTGATTTGTTCTTCATATACTCTGGATTTTTTTACTTTTTCATCTTATGCATATTGTTAATATCCTTACTGAATGTGTGGCTTGTATTTCTATTTTCTTTATAATGGTTTTAGTGTAGTTCCATCAATTCTATTTTACTTAGCACTGCTTAAGTGTTGTTTAAGAAATCTTTACTTAATCAGAAGTCATAAAGACAGTCTTCTATTTTTCTTCCAAAAGTTGTATGGCTTTGTTTTTTATATTTAAGTTATGTGTCTTGAATTGACTTTTGTATATTTTTAGACACATGGACATAAACTTTTAGTCAACTATATCAGGACATTTATAGAACATTCTATCCTAACTCTATTAATCAGTCTTAAATAAAATTTTTTATATGTAGAGATCGGTTTCTGGTCTCTGAATACCAGTGTCTTTATCTGTGCAGCAGATGAAGTGCCACATTTAGTACCCTTGGCTTTATGATACATCCTGATATCTGGTAAATCATGTCACTGATATTAATTCTTCTATTCATGAATATTTTGGCCTTTGTTCTTCCAACTGAATTGTAAAAGCAGATTATCAAGTACTTCTAAAATGTAAGAGTTTGCTTTAAATTGCATTAAAGCTACATATGAATTTGTATAGTTGACATTTTAAAATTTCTATCTAGAAATATAGTACATTACTCCATTTTTTGATATCTTCTTAAATTTTTCAATAAATCTTTTTCTGTAGAATGATATTTTGCATTGTTTTTTGTAAGATTCTCCCTCTGTCCTCTCTCCTTTTTCGCTAAAATATCTATATTTATGTGTACATACATATATATACATCATCCATAAACATACATAAAAGCATATCTATGTATATATCCTATATGAATCTATAACAAGTGAGCTTGCTAAACTCTAGTTTGAGTTATAAATATAAAAAGCATACACAGAGTCACTTTCATGACAGAGCATCAAGTTAATAATAATCTAAATTTAGTATATGCTTTCATATACACATATATGTGACTCTTTCAAAGATCCAGTGGGAAAAATTGCCAGTAAGAATAGCAAAAACAAAAGATAAAATCCCTAAGTGTAACTGAACATGAAATATGCAAGAGCTATATGTAGTATATTTTAAAACACTATTGAAAGGCATAAAAATTGATCAAATGAAAATGTATATATGATTTTGAATCGAAAACACTGCATCATAAAAATACATCTATACTGCTTTCCCTCCTCACCAACACATACATAACCATACACACACACACACACACACACACACACACACACACACACACACACAGAGGCAATCTGGTTCTATCCTCCTTTCCTGCCTTGCTTTTCCCTAATCACGTATTCACTTTGAATCCACTATATCTTTTGTTTTTTATACTTTCTTCATTGTTTTTCACCCTCCACCAAAATGTAAGCATCATAAACACAGTTAATCCCAATCAAGTAGAAATAGGCTGGTACATAACAGATGTTGAATAAACAGGCACTGACGGACACAAAAGGTTTTATAAATAGAAAAGTGTCCCAGGTTCTTGGGTAGATATGCTCATTATCAGACAGATAAATAGATGATTGATTGATTGATTGATAATATCCCATACATTCATCCCATCTCACACTCTGTATCTACATTCTCTAATTCAGTTTTGTCCATAGCACTGAAAACTTTTAATATATTATGTTATTTATTCATTTTATTGTTCTCATTGTACATATAACATCACAAAAACGTAAGTTTCTTATGTTTCAACGTCTTAAGTACATTTATGTTTTTTCTTTTTCCTCCACTGCTGTATCCCCAGCACTGGAACAGTGCTTAGCACATCTTAGGCATAAAATAAATATTTTTCATCTATAAGTTATCCTACACATTTAAAATAAACTCAATTAAATAAGAATAAACTTTTTATACTATATCAGCAGATGTTAAAGTTCTTAGCAAAAATAAATAAGAATATTCAGTGCATTTTTATAAAAGGACCAACGAAGAAGGTTTAAACCTCCCCCAAATTTACACATACAAAGCCTCCATATTTGAAGCCATATGGCACTAGTCCATAAATATATGGATCATTCAAACAGAGAAAGAAAACAAATCCAAATTAGACAAAAGAATATATGGAAATATGTGAAATATCTTGGGTACAATTTGTCACAAATTGTAGGAAAATAATCTACCAATAGGAGACTGGTTAAATAAACCCTTGTTTTTTCCCATTGTAAAAAAGAATAAAAGCATCCTATCTTATATACTTATATAGAAAGGTATACAAAATATGGTATATATGAAAAAAGCAAAGTCTAGAAGAGAACGTATGGTATCCAATTTATATGAGAAAATGGTAAGATTACATATTTCTCTGCTTATATTTGAACAAAGAAGCTGTGTATTAATAAAGCTAGTCACCTGCAAAAAAAAAAAAAAAGCTACAGTACTGGGAAAATGGGGCAGAACTTTAAAGCCACTTACAGTGCTTGGTAAATAGTCTTTAAAAAATTAAAGCACTTTAGTTTTATTAGATCCCATTTGTCAATTTTGGCTTTTATTGCAATTGCTTTTGGTGTTTCAGTCATGAAGTCTTTGCCCATGCCTATATCCTGAGGGGTATTGCCTAGGTTTTCTTCTAGGGTTTTGATGGTTTTGGGTTTTACATTTAGGTCTTTAATACTTCTTGAGTTAATTTTTGTATAAGGTGTAAGGAAGGAGTCCGGTTCCTGTTTTCTACATATGGCTAGCCAGTTTTTCCAGCACCATTTATTGAATAGGGAATCCTTTCCCCATTGCTTGTTTTTGTCAGGTTTGTCGAAAATCAGATGGTTGTAGATGTGTGGTGCTATTTCTGAGCCCTCTGTTCTGTTCCATTGGTCTATATACCTGTTTTGGTACCAGTACCATGCTGTTTTGGTTACTATAGACTTGTAACATAGTTTGAAGTCAGGTAGTGTGATGCCTCCAGCTTTGTTCTTTTTGCTTAGGATTGTCTTGGCTATATGGGCTCTTTTTTGGTTCCATATGAAATTTAAAGTATTTTTTCTAATTCTGTGAAAAAAAGTCAATGGTAGCGTGATGAGAATAGCATTGAATCTATAAATTACTTTGGGCAGTAGGGCCATTTTCATGATATTGATTCTTCTATCCACGAGTATGGAATGTTTTTCTATTTGTTTGCGTCCTCTCTTATTTCCTTGAGCTGTGGTTTGTACTTCTTGAAGAGGTCCTTCACATCCCTTGTAAGTTGTATTCCTAGATATTTTATTCTGTTTGTGGCAATAGTGAATGGGAGTTCATTCATGATTTGGCTCTCTTCTTGTCTATTGTTGGTGTATAGGAATGCATGTGATTTTTGCAGTTTAATTTTGTATCCTGAGACTTTGCTGAAGTTGCTTATCAGCTTAAATCACGTCCTTTGCAGAGACGTGGATGAAGCTGGAAGCCATCATTCTCAGCAAACTAACACAGGAACAGAAAACAAAACACCACATATTCTCACTCATAAGTGACAGTTGAACAATGAGAATACATGGACACAGGGAGGGGAACATCACACACCAGAGCCTGCCGGGGGTTTGCGGTCAAGGGGAGTGAGAGCATTAGGACAAATACCTAATGCATGTGGGGCTTAAAATGTAGATGAAGGGTTGAAAGGTGCAGCAAACCACGGCACATGTATACCTATGTAACAAACCTGCACGTTCTACACATGTATCCCTGAACTTAAAGTAAAATTAAAAATAAAATTAAAGCTATGCTTTCTTAGCAAGCACTAAGCCAAAAATACATACATTTAACTGACCATTTAATGGAAAACAAATAATATTTCTCATTTGCACTAATTCAATCATATTGATTAGAGACCTACACCATCTTTACCTGATAGTGTGCTAGCAAAGATAGCAGGCATTCATTATGTAATGCCTTTTAGCATAGATGAACCAATACTGCATTCTTCTACTGAACTTATTCTTGCTCCCTTTCAATATATGCAAAGACATAACTTTTTTTACTATTAGCACAATTTTTTGAAAGTCTCTTAGCTTTGATTTTGCTTTACAGATATTGTAGAATTCAGGCAGTAGGTAGAATTTGACAGCTTACAGGCTTGTTAATTCAAATATGGCCTGTGACCATCATTAGTATCACCTGCAAGCTTGTTAGAAATGCATAATGGAACCTGTAATCCTAGCACTTTGGGGGGCCAAGGCGGGTGGATCACCTGAGGTCAGGAGTTCGAGACCAGCCTGGCCAACATGGTGAAACCCCGTGTCTACTAAAAATACAAAAATTAGCCAGGCATGGTGGCACGTGCCTGTAATCCCAGCTATTCGGAAGGCTGAGGCAGGAGAATTGCTTGAACCCAGGAGGCAGAGGTTGCAGTGAGCCAAGATCATGCCATTGCACTCCAGCCTGGGGGACAAGAGCAAGACTTCGCCTCAAAAAAAAAAAAGGCACAATGGAAGTTTCCATTCCAGAGCTACTGAGTCAGAATCTACATTTTAACAAGAGCCGTAGATAGTTTCTGTGCCCTGTAAAGTTTGCAAAGCACTGATTTACAGGACCATACACCCAGTTTTTTGTTTTGGTTGCTTCTTTATTACATGCATACTGTTTACATTAAAAAAAATCCTCTGTACATTTTTCTACATTATCTTCCATTTGTCATTTTTCTTTTTCTCTCTATTCTTTCGTTTTCATCTCCCTACTGCATGTTTTTCTAAGCTTTTTATTTCCTTCTGTCATCACGATATCAAAAGATTTTAATCTTTGGGGCCGGGCGCGGTGGCTCACGCCTGTAATCCCAGCACTTTGGGAGGCCGAGGCAGGCGGATCACGAGGTCAGGAGATCGAGACCATCCTGGCTAACACGGTGAAAACCTGCCTCTACTAAAAATGCAAAAATTAGCCAAGCGTGGTGGCTGGTGCCTGTAGTGCCAGCTACTCGGAAGGCTGAGGCAGGAGAATGGCGTGAACCCAGAAGGTGGAGCTTGCAGCGAGCCGAGATTGCGCCACTACGCTCCAGCCTGGGTGACAGAGCGAGACTCCGTCTCTAAAAAAAAATTAAAAAAAGATTTTAATCTTTGGGATCTGAGCAGTTTAACACCTGGTGTGCTAGGGAGTTTAATGCTTAAAGGGGTTACCTGCGATAATTTTCTTTGATTTCCCTATTGTTTTTAATTATTTCTGATTATCTGAGAGTTTCATATATTTGAGTTCTGCTAAAACAGCAGATCAACAGTTTGGTGGTGGTGGAGAGGGCAATGAGAAATACCACAGTGAATTTCCAGCATTACAGGATGAGTAAGTAACCAGAGATATGGGCCCACAGAAAGAAATTATTATAAAAAAGATCCCTAATTTTAATTCCAATAACTATTTTTTAAAATTTTATTTTGGGGGCAAGAATCCATTGTGAGAATCTTAAGAAAACCTTTTCCAGTAAAATACCATTAACACATACTTTTTTTTTTTTTGCACATAGCTTTTGGGAGTTTATATAACCTGAAATCTACATATGTATTTTTAATTTCATGTCCTAGGCGCAAGCAAAAATAAATATAAATATCTACTCTTTGTTATCAGTATGTTAGCCAAATAAAAAATATAGATGATTCTGGGAAAGTAAAATTTTTGTCCCTGACGATGCACATTAACTGTAAAATATTGGTATAATCATAACAAACCAAATGAAACATAAATTTCCTTTAGTAAACTGAAGATAATAAATTTCCTTTCAGATGATGAAGTGCAGCAGTCCAATAACTGTTTTTTGAAGTAAAGCTTCTTATATGCAAAACTGTAGGGTCAAGAATGCTCAGCCAGTTGAGCAATTGAGTTGGCCGCACATCCACAAGTACTGTATAATTTAGGTCAAGCAGGTTAATTAGCATATTATTGTTTGGCCAAATCAACAGCATGAAATTGCCAAACCTAAATTCCTTAAATAGTAACACATAAATCTTAGTACACTGGCAGTTCTACAGATGGCAGCCTGCTATCTGATGGATGGAAAGGCCTGCTTGAGCGTAACATTAAGATTCTAAACAGCAAAAGAATGCCACACTGAAAGAATTTCACAGGGCAGCAGAAATTTATCATGTTTGTTTTGTCACTGTAACTCACATCTTGCCAACTCAACCCCATAAATAAATAAGGGGCATTTACAGAAGGTAGAAAAAGGGAGAGTTAAAAAAAAATTTATGCAAAAACAGTGTATGATTATCTGCGTTCTGAGAAGGAAATGATGTGAAGTATTGGATTATTGCTTTGCTGTTCATGAACAATGTCAACTTCCAAATATTTTTTGTTTGTTTCTTATTGGTCTTGCTTCTTATATTATTACACAATGTTTTTGGAAGCATTTGGTCAATTACTAATTCTCCAGCTTATTGTTTTCTTCCTTCTATCCAATGTGCATTATATTTATCTTGAATAAAAATAGAACATAATATCACGTAACACATTACAATAGCAATCCCTAGGCAAAAGGTTGGTAACTAGAGAGAATGGATTAACTCTTTAAATCTCATTTGCCATGTGTGTTGGGGTCCCCAAGACCACTCTCAGATTTGAGGCTTTACTGGAAGGATTCACAGGACCCAGAAATGTATTATACTCATGGTTATAGTTTATTATAGGAAAAGTATAGGGATTGAAACCATCAAAGGAAAAAGGTATAGAAGGAGAGTCCAGAAGAAACCAGGCATTACATACAGTTGGCTTCTCCTGGGGGAGCCACCCAGTCAATACTTAGTTCTCCCAACAACAGTGTGTGACAAGGGAGGCTCACCTGGGCCTTGGTGTCCAGGGATTTTATTTGGGAGTCAGTCTCCTAAGCATGTATTGCCTGTGTGACTGACCTTAGCTACTCACACTCAAGCCTCTCAAGAGGTCAACTAATATATCATGGTTCAAAGACCCAGAAATTCTTACAAAAACAATCACCATAACTCATACTATTAGCATAACCTACCTGGTGTGGTGCAAGGTCTCAGGTATACTAATACATTTTTATAAGGCAGAATATTCCAAGGGCTCAGAAGTTATCTTCTGGAAGTCAATCAGGAGCCAATCCTGAAGGCCTTTAGAATGTGCAGGGTTTGGGCAAACCAGGCCTGATGAGTTAATCCTTTACTGCACACTATGGAAAAACAACAACAATCATGGCTATATTTCCACTCTAAGGTTTGCTTCACTAACTACTGTTTTCCCTCATTTTCCCTGGATTTCTTGTTGATATACACTCTGATAAGACTATGTTTTTGCTTTCAGGAAGCTCTGATACCACTCTTTATGTGTGTCCAAGTATAGACATATCTTTTATCTTTTTCTCTTCAGGTAGTCAAATAGATGTTTTCTTTTTAAAGCAATGAAAGTCATTATTAAGTGAATATCTCAGCATCCGAATATGTGAATCTTGTGGGAAGCAAGATATGCCTCAAAATACAGAAGCTAAAATGTCCAAAGTATGTATTTTTCTGCCTGTCTGGTTGTTTGGGCATGGGCATGGGACCTCAGCTCAGCCAAACATACCACCATACCCATTAAAT
This sequence comes from Homo sapiens, assembly GCF_000001405.40. Taxonomy (NCBI): domain Eukaryota; kingdom Metazoa; phylum Chordata; class Mammalia; order Primates; family Hominidae; genus Homo; species Homo sapiens. Next base: position 145,312,161 of record NC_000007.14, on the reverse strand, counting down.
CTGGAGTGAGTATCTCAAAGAATGAGGCAGAATTGTTCTTCCCAGATAGCTCTTATAAATTCTCTAGTTTTGGTTAATTCCTATCTACTGTTAAGCCAGGTTTTTCAAACTTTTCCAAATTTCTACAAGCTATGAAATAACTTTCAGTAAATTAAGTTTACGTGAGAATTTCTCTGAGTCAAACTTTGTTGCTTTCAACAAAAAACTTTGGCTAATAGAATTCTACTAAGAAATTAATATAAAATGAAAATGAACAATTATAGAGAAGGTTTCTAAATTTGCAACAAAAGTCTAGTAACAAATTTCATGGTTGGCACAATTTCTAAAAAACTCAGAGCCCCTACAATGACCATCAATTTTTTTCCTCATTCACTCAGAAAATTATATCATGAGTTATCTTCTATGGGCTCTGTTGTGTCTGAGAATTTCAGTCTCTCCCAAGCTATTTCCTGACCTTTCTAAAGATGACTTCAATATCACCTCTAGTTCTGAATTTCATTATACTTTCAATTATCTTGTCTTATCAATTTTTACCTAAATCTAGACCCTATTGTGATGCAGACTCTTGAAGACCCTTTTTTAAAAGAATGTAGTCCCAAAAGTTCTGCCTTTGACCTCATGTTACGTAATATTAATACTGACTTTCCTACACCCTTCCTGAAGGATTTCTGTTCCCAAACCTTGAGAAATTTTATTCTCATCCTTGCACAAACAATCCACGTTTTCAGAGGTATGCAACTTTGCTAATGTCACTATAGTTCTTTTGATTTTTGATGATGGACATCAGGTTTTTTGAGGCTTTTACAAAATGAAAACAAATGGTCATTGCATCTTTCCAATATTCAAACATTTATGTTTAAGTCCTTAATCCATTTTGAATTAACTTTTCATGGTGTAAAGCAGGGGCCAATCCCATTCTTATGCATTTAGATATTCAGTTTTCCCAATACCATTTGTTGAAGAGTCTATCCTGTCCTCATTGCATAGTCTTGACACTCTTGTGGCAGATCATTTGATGATAAACATCTAGATTTATTTCTGGTCTGTATATTCTCTATATTCTGTTCCACTGGTCCATGTGTCTATCTTTTTGCAAGTGCCATCTTGGTTTGATCACTGTAGATTTATAATATGTTTTGAAGACGAGAAGTAGGAGCCCTCTAGTTTTGTTGTTTTTCTCAAGATGTCTCAGCTGTTTGGGGCCCTTGGTTCTTCATATGAATTTCAGTATTGTTTATTCTATTTCTGAAAAAAATACCATTGTAATTTTGATAGGAATTATATTGAAATACATAAGATCCTTTGTGTAGTATGAACATCTTAACCATATTAAGTCTTTCAATCTGTAAACAAGGAATGTCTTTCCTCTTGAATTTTTTTTTAACTTTTATTTTAGGTTCGGGGTACTTGTACAGGTCTGTTACACAAGTGAACTCCTGTCACAGTGGGGGTTGTACAGATTATTTCATTTCCCAGGTACTAAGCCAAGTACCCAAAAGTTGTTTGCTCTGCTCCTCTCTCTCCTCCAACCTTCCACCTTCTTGTATTCCCCAGTATTTTTTGTTCCCTTCATTGTGTTAATGAATTCTCATCATTAAGCTCCCAATAATAAGTGAGAACCTGCAGTATTGGCTTTCTGTTCCTGTGTTAGTTTGCTAAGAATAATGGGCTCTGGCTTCATCAATGTTCCCACAAAAGAAATGATCTTGTTCTTTCTTATAGCTGCATAGTAGTCCATGCTGTATATGTACCACATTTTCTTTATCCAATATATCACTGATGGGCATTTAGGTTGATTCTATGTCTTTGCCAATGTGAATAGTGCTGCAGAGAACATTTGCATGCGTGTGTCTTTATGGTAGAGTGATTTATATTCCTCTGGGTATATGCCCAGTAATGGGATTGCTGGGTGGATCTGCTTTTAGCAGATCTGCTTTTAGCTCTTTGAGGAATCACCATACTGCTTCCCACAATGGTTGAACTAATTTACACTCCAACCAACAAAGTACAAGAGTTCCCTTTTCTCCACAGCCTCACAAGCATCAGTTAAATCTTTGACTTTTCAATAATAGCCATTCTGACTGATGTGAGATGGTATCTCATTGCAGTTTTGATTTGCATTTCTCTAATAATCAGTGATATTGAGCATATATATATATGCTTGTTGGCTGCATGTATGTATTCTTTAGAAAAATGTCTGTTCATGTCCTGTGCCCACTTTTTAATGGGGTTGTTTGGTTTTTTTTCTTGTAAATTTGTTTAAGTTCCTTATAGATGCTGGATATTAGACCTTTATCAGATGCACAATTTGCAAATATTTCTCACATTCTGTAGGTTTTCTGTTTATTCTGTTGATAGTTTACTTTGTTTTAGTTTAATCAGCTCCCATTTGTCAATTTTTGGTTTTGTTGCAATAGCTTTTGGTGTCTTTGTCATGAAATCGTTGCCTGTTCCTATGTCCAGGACAGTATTGCCTAGGTTATCTTGCAGGGTTTTTATAGTTTGGGGTTTTACATTTAAGTCTTTAATCCATCTTGAGTTAATTTTTGCATATGGTGTAAGGAAGGTGTCCAATTTTAGTCCTCTGCATATGGCTAGCCAGTTATACCATCATCATTTATTAAATAGAAAATTCTTTCACCATTGCTTGTTTTTGTCAGCTTTGTCAAAGACCAGATGGTTGTAGGTGTGTGTCCTTATTTTGGGGCTCTCTATTCTGTTCCATTGATCTATGTGTCGGTTTTTGTACCTGTACCATGTTGTTTTGATTAACACAGTCCTGTAGAATAGTTTGAAGTCAAGTAGCATGATACCTCCAGATTTGTTCTTTTTGCTTAAGATTACCTTGGCTATTTGGGCTCTTTTTCAGTTCCATATGAATTTTAAAATAGTTTCTTATAGTTCTGTGAAGAATGTCACAGGTCTTTTAATATGAAGAGCATTTAATCTGTAAATTGCTTTGGGCAGTATGGCCACTTTAATGAAATTAATTCTTCCTATACATGAGCTTCTTCACTGAAATTTATTTCTATGGGTTTTATTCTTTTTGATACTATTGTAAGTGGAATTGTTGTCTTAAATTCCTTTTTAGATAGTTTGTTGTTAGTGTATAGAAACACAACTGATTTTTGTATGTTGATTTTGTATTATGCAAATTGCTTGAATTTGTTTTTTAGTTCTAAGAGTTTTTTGTTTAGTCATTAGAGTTTTCCACATATAAGATCAGGTCTTGTGCAAACAAGTAATTTTATTTTATTCCTGGTTTATATGTCTTTTATTTCTTTTTCTTGCTTCATTGTTCTGATAAGGTCTTCCAGAACCATGTTGAATAAAAGTGGTGATAGTGGGCATCCTTGTCTAACTCCTGATCTTAGAGAAAAATATTTTAGTTTTTCACTATTGAGGATGATGTTAGCTGTGGGCTTGTCATATATGGCCATTATTATGTTAAAGTAAATTCCTTCTAGACCTGGTTTGTTGAGTCGTTTTATTATGGAGGTGTTGATTTTTGTCAAATTCTTTTTTTGCATATTTTGAGATGATCATGTGATTTTTATCCTCTTAATGTGGTTTATTACATTATTTGATTTGTTTATATTAAACCATTCTTGCATTCCAGAGATAAATTCCACTTGGTCATGGGGTATGATCCTCTTAAGGTACTGCTGGGTTCATTTTGTCAGTATTTTGTTGAGGAGTTTTGCATCTGTATCAGAGTGATTGATTTATTGTTTTCTTTTCTTGTGATATCTTTGGCTTTGGTGATGCTGGCCTTGTAAACTGAATTTGTATTTCTTCTTTTTCAATTTTTTGAAAGAGTTTAAGAAAAATTGGTGTTAAGTCTTTAGATGTTTGGTAGAATTCTCCAGTGAAGCCATTTACTGTTGGGCTTTTCATTGTTGGGATGTTTTTGGTTCTGATTCAATCTCTTTCTTCTTTACAGTTCTGTTCAGATTTCTATTTCTTCATGATTCAGTCTTGGTAGCTTGTGTGTTTCTAGGAAGTTACACGTTTATTTTAGGTTTTCAAATATGTTTTGTGTTTTTTTTTCTATTGAGTTGTAGGAATTCCTTATACATTTTGTACATTAACTTCTTATCAAATATATGGTTTACAAATATCATCTTACATTCTGTAGGTTGCCTCTTCTTATCTGGATTGTTTCCCTTGCAATAAAACAATTTTATTTTAATGCAGTCTCCCTTGTCTATTTGTGCTTTTATTGTCTATGTTTTTTATGTCGTATCTAAGAAATCATTGGCAGGAGAGAGGGAAATGGGGAGTTTCTGTTCAACAAGTAAAATGTTTCAAATATACAAGATGAGTAAGATGTAGCGCCTATAGTTAACAATACTGTATTGTGCTCTTAAATTTTTTGGTAAGAGGGTGTATCTCAAGTTAAGTATTCTAATCAGAAAAAAATAAAAATATATGAAAAATATGTTAAGACAGGTCACAAAGAAATTTTGGAGGTGATGACATGCATTACCTTGATTGTGGTCATGGTTTTATGGATGTTTGTCTATGTCCAAACCCATCAAACTCATATAAAAGTGTGTGTATATATATATACACACACACATAATATATTATATATAATAAAATATATTATATATATATTTTATCTATAATATACTTTATATGTTATATATATTACTATATATAATATATAATTTTTGTTATATATTATATATATTATATTATATATAACTATATATTATATATATTATATTATATATAACTATATATTATATATATTATATTATATATAACATATATTATATATATTATATTATATATAACTATATATTATATATATTATATTATATATAACTATATATTATATATATTATATTTTATATAACTATATATTATATAGTTATATAAAATATATTTTATATATATTATATTTTACATATAGTACATAAATATATATTTATTTATTTCCCCTCACTTCCGAGTGTCTTCAGCCAGCCAATGAGAGCTCCAGAAACAGTCAGAGAAAGAGAGGAGAATGTGAGCTTTTAGTTGCTCCATTCTCTATTTTTTATATATTACATAATAAATATTTATTTTATTATATATCATATGTGATATATATCATATACATCATATATATCATATATATATATGACAGAGTCTCACTATGTTGCCTGGCTGGAGGGCAGTGGTGCGATCTCAGCTCACTGCAACCTCCACCTCCCTAGTTCAAGTGATTCTCCTGCCTCAGCCGCCTGAGTAGCTGGGATTACGTACACATGCCACCAGGCCCAGCTAATTTTTGTATTTTTAATAGAGATGGGGTTTCACCATGTTGGCCAGGATGATCTACATCTCCTGACCTCGTGATCTGCACAACTCGGCCTCCCAAAGTGCTGGGATTACAGGTGTGAGCCATTGTGCCCAGCCAAAAATATTTTTTTGAAAGCAATGGAAATGACACATTAAAAAATCAAATGTAATGTTATTTTCACCTTCTGTGTTATATAGAGACAGTGATGCTCATTACTAGGAATCCAGTTTCTAATTTTGGTAATAATGATAATTTTTTAAATTGTAAAATGTATAAAAATAAAAAATGAATGGACATACACATTTTAAAGTCTTCCATTGAATTCTTGTTCTAGATGAAGAAAATATACACTTCTTGATTTATTTGCAAAGCAGAAATTCTTAATAAACTCTGAATGCCAGTTCACCAGTAGACCCAAGAAGGGTCTTAGTTACTGACCTAACCTGTTCCTTGAACTTTGGGTAACTTGACTTTGGCTTGCATTCTCTTCTGACTATACCCTTTTGCATCTGTAAGTCAAAGTAATGAGCCCACTTGAAATTTACTCATCCCTTTCTAGACTGTATGATAACCAGAAATCATTGCTCAAATATCCCAAACTTGCATTTAGGACAAGTACACACTAATTCTAAATGTCTATTCTCTGAGGTACGTTCATGTCACAGATGCATTCACCACTAAATACAAGGAGCCAGATGTATGGAAAGAAACTGGGCATGTAAGTTTTGTGTTCATACCTGCACACATAATGTTTCTCACAGTGTGACGTAGAACAAGGGTAGAAAGGTTTATATTATAAAAATGAACTTTTATAGGATACTCATGTTCAATACAAGGTAAGCTCATATCATTCTTTTGAAATACACAATATGTCAGAGAAAGGAAACAAATGGGTTGTATTTTTAAAAAATAAAGATGTTATGTATTGAATTAGGTAAATTTTAAAAAATATACCAAGGGTATTGATGGTGAGCATTTTTTCATGTGTTTTTTGGCTGCATAAATGTCTTCTTTTGAGAAGTGTCTGTTCATGTCCTTCGCCCACTTTTTGATGGGGTTGTTTGTTTTTTTCTTATAAATTTGTTTGAGTTCATTGTAGATTCTGGATATTAGCCCTTTGTCAGATGAGTAGGTTGCGAAAATTTTCTCCCATTTTGTAGGTTGCCTGTTCACTCTGATGGTAGTTTCTTTTGCTGTGCAGAAGCTCTTTAGTTTAATTAGATCCCATTTGTCAATTTTGGCTTTTGTTGCCATTGCTTTTGGTGTTTTAGACATGAAGTCCTTGCCCATGCCTGTGTCCTGAATGGTAATGCCTAGGTTTTCTTCTAGAGATTTTATGGTTTTAGGTCTAACGTTTAAGTCTTTAATCAAATCAAAACCACAATGAGATACCATCTCACACCAGTTAGAATGGCAATCATTAAAAAGTCAGGAAACAACAGGTGCTGGAGAGGATGTGGAGAAATAGGAACACTTTTACACTGTTGGTGGGACTGTAAACTAGTTCAACCATTGTGGAAGTCAGTGTGGCGATTCCTCAGGGATCTAGAACTAGAAATACCATTTGACCCAGCCATCCCATTACTGGGTATATACCCAAAGGACTATAAATCATGCTGCTATAAAGACACAGGCACATGTATGTTTATTGCGGCATTATTCACAATAGCAAAGACTTGGAACCAACCCAAATGTCCAACAATGATAGACTGGATTAAGAAAATGTGGCACATATACACCATGGAATACTATGCAGCCATAAAAAATGATGAGTTCATGTCCTTTGTAGGGACATGGATGAAATTGGAAATCATCATTCTCAGTAAACTATCGCAAGAACAAAAAACCAAACACCGCATATTCTCACTCATAGGTGGGAATTGAACAATGAGATCACATGGACACAGGAAGGGGAACATCACACTCTGGGGACTGTTGTGGGGTCGGGGGAGGGGGGAGGGATAGTAGTGGGAGATATACCTAATGCTAGATGACGAGTTAGTGGGTGCAGCACACCAGCATGGCACATGTATACGTATGTAACTAACCTGCACAATGTGCACATGTACCCTAAAACTTAAAGTATAATAATAAAAAAAAAAGAAAAAAGAAAGTGGAAAGCAAAAAAAAAAAAAATATACAAGGGTAAAGGATTCAAGGTACACATGCCTTTTAAGGGACACCGATGAATCTTAAGGATACTGGGCTAGAGGATGACAGAGAATATTAAAAAGTAAAGAACATATGTGCCAAATATAAATTCAAACTATCCATGTTCAGGCTGCAAGATTAAAAACTTGTGAATAACAGCAGCCCTGACAGAAATAGTTGAAAGTATTTTGCCCAAGTGGAATATTAAAAAGCATAGTGCGTCTGAACATCACAGATTCTGCAGCTGTAGACACCTGTGTTACCTGGTAGTGCCACCTCTCACTCTCCAAGGAAAACAAGTGATATAAGTGACATAAAAGTGATGTTATGACCTTTCATCATCACAGGAAATTTGGAAGCATTGCCAGAGGACCTCTGACATCAACAAGTGATCAATCATTTCTAAATGGAGTAAGTTCAATTCCATATTTGTATGTGTTTAATAACAACGAGAATGTGGCTTTTTACAACTAGCAACCTATATTTGATTTTTTTGCATTAGCTCTAACAAGATCTTGAAACATGAACTCATTATGATTATTAAAGAAATCTTCCTTACAAATTCGAAATAATGAAAAGAGCTCTGAACTAAGACTACTGTCCCATTGCTAAATTATTTACTTAAAAGAATTCAAAGCACTTCACCTTATACTCTTAAAGCCTTCATTTATTTCTTATGCAAAATAACTCTATTAACTCACATTTATAATTCAATCAATTTTTATTGTACGTATCAAAAGCCACATGTACATTGGTTTTGAGGGCAGGTTCTGTGTTTATATCCAGGCTTTACTATTGGCAACTTAGATAACGTAACTGTGTCTCATTTTCCTTATCTATAAAAGAGACTACTTTACAGAGTTGTAGGACATAAATCCTTCAGAACAGCACCCAGAATATAGTACAAAATATATTATTTATTTCATTAATATCTATTAAATGAGACCATGTATGCAAAAGTACTTAGAATTACAAGGACCAATGCAAAGTACAAGGCATTATTGTTTTTATTAAGTGATAATTTTATTTTCTCTCAAGTTTCAAGAGTATTGATATAAAATTAAGCCTGTACGACACGCTGATAATGTTTGAGGCTAATTATGACAATTGTCATTTAGTATTAAAAGAAAAAAATCTGATTGCTCAATATTTGCAGATATGAATAGTCAAGTGTGGCTGTGCCATGTATGTCCATTTTCTGCTCTAGAGCCATTCTCTGCCCTTCTCCATCCTCTCATTTCTCTGAGGCTCACCTGTATAGATTGTATTAACAGGATAACCATTTCCTCTCACTTCCGATTGTCTTCAGCCAGCCAATGAGGACTCCAGAAACAGTCAGAGGAAGAGAGGAGAATGTGAGCTTTTAGTTACTCCATTCTCTATTGTTTCGAGTCCAGTATCTTTACTCTGCAAATCATTTATTCCTTCCCTGACAGACAGCCTCATGCTGGCCATCTCTCTCTGAAGGCCACTGCTGCACTCAAGCAGCCTGCCTGATGTGACTCACCAACCCGTTGTCTCTTTGGCTACCCTTGGTGCGGTAGCAGCCCCTCTGCTGCTGGTCTAGGTTCCTTAGCTACTATGGATCCCTAACACCCTGTTCACACCTCTGTCACAAGACCCATTATAAATAAGCCTTCCTTGAATGATATTGATGAACATTTTTACTGGTTGAACTTAACTTATACAAGGGCCTCACTTTACCATAGTTTACCCTTATTTTCAGTTTCACTTTCCATGGTTTCAGTTGCTGCTGGTCACTACAGTCCAAAACTATGTGGATGCAGTAGGATAAGATATTTTCAAAGAGAAGGACCACATTCACACAACATATTGTTATAATTATCCTATTACTAATTGTTGTTCATCGCTTACTGTGCCTAATTTATACATTAAACTTTGTTATAAGTATATATGTATAGGAAAATCATAGTATATGTAGTGTTCAGTACTGTCTATGGTTTCAGGCAACCACTGGAAATCTTGGAATGTATCCCTTGAGGATAAGGGGGAACTATTGTATTCTTAATTTTAATGTATCATACCCTTCATCTCAGCCAATGTAGAAACTGTGACACCTTAAATCCCAAGCAACCCAGCTGTGGCTTGACTCTAAAATGGTCAGTGCTGGAGCTAGGTGCTTGACGAACCATTACACAGGAAAATGTTTAGCTGCAGTCATGATCAGAGGTTGAAACACTTCCCTGGAAGAAGAAGTATCCCAAGAAGTTAACTGTATTAATGTTATATGTTGAGGACCTATTGAGAGTCTATAGGAGAGACAAAAAAAAAAAAAACTTTAAAAGTAGAGTAGACATGGCTGGGTGCGGTGGCTCACATCTATAATCCCAGCACTTTGGGAGGCCGAGGTGGGTGAAGTTCAAGACCAGCCTGACCAATATGTGAAACCTCTTCTCTACTAAAAATACTAAAATTGGCCAGGCAGGATGGTGCATACCTGTAATCCCAGCTACTTGGGAGGCTGAGACAGAAGAATTGCTTGAACCCAGGAGGCAGAGTTTGCAGTGAGCCAAGATCGAGCCGCTGCACTCCAGCTTGGGTGACAGAGCAAGACTCCATCTGAAAAAAAAAAAAATGTAGAGGAGAAACTTTGCAGGTAGGAGTAAAAGTCACTCAGTTATAGGTGGGCACACATATTAATGTGACCTCATTTGTACATACAAGCTGGTGATGTCTAAGTACATTCAAATTACTCTAACAAAATCTGATAATTAATATATGGAGATAAGTCTGGAATTATATCTGAAAGTGAGAAAATCCTACATAAGAAAATTGTATTTAAAAAGCAGAAACAGGAAAGAGCATTGTACTTATGAGAGGCTGCGAAATGGTCAGCCCAACTAGGAAACAGGTTGGTTATTTAGAAAGATAGAGAATAAAATGTAATAAGTACCATAGGACAAAATGATGCACATTCTTTAATGAATATTGAAAAGCTTAGCTCTGGTCACAAAGGCAATATGTATGATGATACATATGTAAGTACTCAGTGGAATGTTTGAAAAAATCTTGGAAATATTATTCTAGAAGCTGTTAGCAGGAAAATATAAAAGTCCACAAATATTGTATGTTGGACCACAGCCTAAGGGGATGGCACTAATATTGGTCAGGAAAGAGAAAAAAATCCAAGAGATTATTTTCAAAAATGACTGATTATATCCATGTCTTGGTTTCTAATGCCATTCTCAAAAGCAAAGAAAAAAGAAACCAGAGATTCTCAGAAAAATAGATGATTCTAGAACTGGGACAAAAAAATGCAAAATAAGCACGGAGCATTCATCATAGTGCCAGAAAGTAAGAAAATGCCAAATTAAAAAAAAAACTCACGATGATTGGGGTACGTCAAAGGGACACAGAAGCCAACTAAAAGAATAGCCAAAGATGAAATAACTCGAGCAAAAAAATAAAGTGGTATTGATTTGTTATCCAAATTATAAAATAAATATCCATGAGTTCACACTGATATAAATTAAAAGATTAAATAAGCAAATGGGGGAGAAAGACAAATCTCCTGTGCAGAACAATTCCAAATAATTTATGTAGATACACTCCACTCTTTATGTGTTAGCTACTCTTAGAAACTTCCAAAGAATACAGAATAGGAAGGGAGAAAATGAATAAATTTTGAAACCTGAAGAATACTACCTTAGTTAGGTGACCATGCTCAACATCAACAGTGAAAAGTCATGTTGATAATATGTGTCTTTGATAGAATTTGGTTAAAATGGCAATTTGCCTCTGTGGTCTTTCTCCACAGCATAATCATGAGAAAAAGATAAAATCCAAAATTAAAGGGCATTGGACAAAATAGCTGACTAGGACTGCTTAAAACTGCCAAAGCATCAAAAACAAGGAAAGTCTGGAAGCTGTCACAAACAAGAAGAGCCTAAACAGACATGATGATCAAATCTAATATGATATCTTGGCAGTGATCCACGAAATGCAAAAAGGACATTAAATGAAAACGAAGAAAACCTAAATAAAGTATAGACTTTAACAACAATTTATCAATAACATTTTTATTCATTGTAACAAAGATACCATGCTAATGTAAGAAGTTAATACTAGGGGAAACTGTGGGGGTGCAGTATATGGGAACTGTCTGTCCTATCTTCACAAATTCTTTTTTTTTCCTTTTTTTTTGAGACAGAGTCTTGCTCTGTTCCCCAGGCGGGAGTGCAGCGGCACAATCTCGGCTCACTGCAAGCTCCACCTCCCAGGTTCACGCCATTCTCCTGCCTCAGCCTCCCAAGTAGCTGGGACTACAGGCGCCTGCCACCACGCCCAGCTAATTTTTTGTATTTTTTAGTAGAGATGGGGTTTCACCATGTTAGCCAGGATGGTCTTGATTTCTGACCTTGTGATCAACCCACCTCGGCCTCCCAAAGTGCTGGGATTACAGGTGTGAGTCACCGCGCCTGGCCCACAAATTATTTCTTTAAACCTAAAATTGATATAAAATAAAAATTGTATTTTAAAAAATCCCCATGTGAATATAATCAAATTATCTTCTGTATTGAAACCATTTACGGTGTAAATAAAGAGAGAATACACAGTGTAAATGAAAACATCAGTAGTTTGTAATTTACTGTGATGTGGTTTGGCTGTGTCCCCACCCAAATCTCAACTTGAATTGTAGCTTCCAGAATTCCCAGGGGTTGTGGGAGGGACCCATGGGGAAGTAATTGAATCATGGGGGCTGGTATTTCCTGTCCTATTCACGTGACAGTGAATAAGTTTCACCATATCTGTTGGGTTTATCAGGGGTTTCCGCTTTTGCTTCTATCTCATTTTTTCTCTTGCCACTGCCATGTAACAAGTGCTTTTTACCTCCAGCCGTGATTCTGAGGCACCCCCAGCCATGTGGAACTGTAAGTCCAATTAAACTTCTTTTTGTTCCCAGTCTCAGGTATGTCTTTATCAGCAGCATGAAAATGGACTAATACATACTGTTTATCATGAAAGAAAAAATAGAAAAATTAACGATTTGTAATATTAGTTATTTCCAAATGATTAAAATGTAACTAAAATATAAATTTCATTGCCCATACTCACAATCTACATATCCTCACTATAGATTAATAAAGCAAGGTTAAATAAACAATACTCAAAGTAAGGTTGCCAAAGTAACTAGAAAATTGGTTTGGAGAGAATGGAAAATATATGTTGAGGAACCAAGGAACCAATGATGAAATGGAAATAGAACACTAAAGATGAGTGTGATATATCTGTGAATCATCAGCCTAGAGATAACTGTTGACTCTCCTTTAGAAGAAAGAAAGAAAGAAAGAAAGAAAGAAAGAAAGAAAGAAAGAAAGAAAGAAAGAAAGAAAGGAAGGAAGGAAGAAAGAAAGAAAAGAAAGACAAAGGGGAACATAATTACAAGAAGAAAAGTTCAAATTATACAGTGATGAGACTAATTCTATAGGGCTCATGTCAAAACCAGTCACTTTTTCAGGGTACAACTGAAATCCAAGAACAAGAAGTTTTCAAAAGAGGTTGAGGAAAATGACCAAAAGAAGCCAAGGTCAAGAAAGATGACTTGGGTAAGAAAAGACTATTGTATTAAAGTTGGAAACCTAAGAATAACCTGGGTTGTAAGCTCTCTGTATTCAAGACTGTGCCTTGCTCATCATTGTAAATAAATGTTGAGCACAGTGTCTGGCACATAGTAGATGTTCATTAAATATTTCAGGGAATAAACAGTAAGAGTGGAGCACCTGAGAACAAAACTAGACTGAAGAGAGTTAAGGAGAAAAAAAAAGGTGTTGAGGAAACTAAGATAATAACATAAATAATGCTGTAATTGAGAGGGAATGGTGAGTCAAGTGAAGCATGAGAAGAGAAAGAGGAGAGAAGTAAAGAAAAGAAAGGAGAAATATAGCAGCTAAATGGAATGAGGTATGTTAGATTTAATCCTGGAAAGAAAGAGGAAATGAGTGGAAAACAAGAGAAATCCAAATAAATTCTGGAGTTTAGTTAATAACAGTATAGGAATGCCAGTTTCTTAGTTTTAATAAATGAACCATAGTAATATAAGATGTTAAAAATATGCAAAAGTGGATGAGGGGTATTCAAAAACTCTCTGAATTATCTTTGTAACTTTTGTGTAAGTACAAAATTATTCAAAAATAAAAAGTGTATTAAATTTGTTTAAAGGGATAAAAAATAGAGCAGGGTAAAGAATAGTGATGACAGGAAGGGGGGATAAAGGAACATGTTGTTGAGGTGTTCAGTGTGGTTGTTTTACAATAGTTTGTGACAACTCAGTTTGTCCGCTGACTCCTAATGGTATACACTGACTTATGCTGCTGAAATGCCTCCTTAGAGTGCTTCAAGCCAGTCAATACAGAAACTGTAAAAATCTAAGGGTTTTGAATTACTTTTTATTATAAAATAAAAAGAATAGAAGAAAAATTAAAGATGTACTAATATTCTCTCCAAAGGAATAAAATATGCCTGTAACATAAATTTAATTTGCGGGGCTTCCAAGCTCCAAAACAACATCCAGAAAGTATTACATTTACCCTTGAACACCACAAAATAAATAGAAGACAAATTCTGTCCCATATCTTCTTGAACAGATCATCATGTTCCCTCTCACATTCTGAAGACTTATTGAACTTACTGAACCCACAGATGAAGTGGTATTAACGGAAAAGACGTCTATTTCTGGAACCTTAGATTTATTGAACAACTTTCCGTAAAACATCCTGTGTTTTAGGAGAATTTCAATGGCTTTAAACAGTAATACATATATACTTTATTTATTTACTCTATTAAAGAAAAAACATAGCCCTTAAAATATTCTTATTTTCTCAAAACAAATAGATATGCTCCTACTATGTGCAAGATTGTGTTAGATACTAGAGATAAAAACATGAAAAGATATAACCTAAAATGTACCTACCACAGAAAAATATTATCCTAAAGACAACTACTACAAATAAGTTAAATCAGGAATTCAAATTTCCAAGAAATCCATATCCAGATTTACAAATTGTACTGGCATTCAGTCAAAAGCCTGAGGCAGAAGAAATAGTAAATAACAAATCTCCAGGTGATAAATATGGGTAAACATTGGCAGGATTTATGAATTAAACTGCTAAAAACAAAATCTTGAGGATATAGGTATAATTTAGCCCCTTCTAATGCATCACTTGGTAGTTTTACATTCTCCTAAAATGAAACACATTCTCTTGCACCCCAATTGTGTTAAGACAATAGATGAGGCTCTTTTTCATACCCATAGCAATTGGTTCAGAGATGGATATATCAGCGCATTAGTGTTAGTTAGAATAGAGAAACTGTTTTCTTGTATCTCTGGGAAAGAATAACCTTCTGATCCACTGAAGATACCAAAAGAGGCTGTTCTTTTCCTTGACAATGTGAAGGTGTCAAGTTTTTAACAAAATGTGGAGTCTGAATCCCAAGAGAGCTAAAGCAAGAGCTACATGTCTTCTTAAGATCTAAGCTAGGAATTCTCAGGTGACACTTCTGCTGCATTCTATGAGTCAAAGATAGTTAGAAGATCAGCCCATCTTAAGACCAGCCCAGATTCAAAAGGAAGTAAAACAGAGTTCACCTGTTGGAATTGAATGGGAGGAATTGCATGCATGAAGAGGAATGAAATAATGGAATAATGATTGGTGACCATATTTGGAAGCAGTCTACCACAGTGAGGGACATATTGAATGGAGATATGAAGAGTGAGAATAGCCATCTATTCGAATAGCTGAAGAAAGAGAATTCAAAGTAGAAAAAGAATTCCATTTCAAAGAATCTGACAGAGTACAGGCTAGTTGTGATCACAGAAATGAAGATAAACCAACACAATTGAGCATGATGCTAAAGAAAGAGAACTAATTGGATGAAGTGATGGAGTTGAGCAAGGTCAAGGCACATGGGGATGGGGGGAAGGGTTGTTAATGATCTGAGTTTATTAAATGTCAGAATTATGTAGGCCTGGTTCTTTCCTCTGCCTCTCAATATTTTGAGAAAGTGCATCTTTAGTACATTCCAACAATTTTAATAAGAGAAAGAAAATCTGATTTGTCATTGGAAGTTCTAATGAAAATAGAATCCATTATGTTTTAAGACGATATTTTTATTTAATAATTCATCCTACTGAGACTATTTTCTAATTTTATTTCTCCTCTCCTCTGCAAGTACTTTGATTTATAATTTTTTATTAATGGCATAGTACTTTAACATCAATAACCATTAAGTGTTAGGAAAGTGTGATGTTTATTCAACATGATTTCCAAAAGCTTCTGAGTATTTTGCCATTAAAGTTTAAACCTTTAAATGCTTAAAACTGAATTACTTTAGGCTGTGTTGAGAAAAAGATTTCCAGAGTTGGAAAAACACAAAAATACATAGATACAAGTCTCTTGAAAAGATTAATAAGCAGAAGGATCACATTTATAAATAACAATGATTGTGTTCTAATAAAATGATACTGTTCACTCAAGACAAAAAAGACAATATTCTCTTTCAAAAGATCATTATTTTGCAAGATATTTGAAGCAGGGAAGTGACTATGGTCCAATACTAATAATAAACTCGAAATTAGGAATTTGTGTGTGATTGTATTTTCATTTATGTTCTATAACATAGAATGTTTAATAAATTGTCAGCACAGAATTCCATACAGTTATTTTTTCCAACAAGGATTATTCTGAGGTTGCCTTCTTTTCAGGATTATTAGGTCAAATAACATTTTTAAATTATGTAATAAATGGTTTATGTCCTTCTAAACAAATACTTCCATGTTAAGACACAATATTTTGACTATCATAGATTATTTTACATTATATAGGTGTACTTTATTCGCTTCTACTTTTATACTGACACACTAGTTGTGCTTGGGATCCATGTATTGGGACAACCTGATATGTTAATAGTGCTTCATAAAGAAAGCCTGCTACTTCTTCCTTAAATCCCACTGGAAGAAGCCAAGGAAGACCCATTTCACGTGGAACCCTTTTCAATAGGAAACCTTGCTCCACTGAGGTTTCTGTGCTTTAAAGTAATTCTATTTTCAAAGGCACTTTACTCAAAATTAGGGAATGAAGGAAGTACCAAGAGACTGTGACTTATTATTCTATGGCGACCACCTATTGCAATCCTCAAAAACATTGTGCTCATTTGGTTTAAATGATCTCTCAGTAGCACTCACTAGGGCCCTCTGTGGAATATTTCGCCTTTCACTTATGCCTATTTATTATGTGTTGATTTTTCTACTTTTTTTGTATTCATATCAGTTTTAAGATATCTGCACTTTATTAGCGGTATTATATTTATCCTTTTATTGTTTCTGTGACTTAATGTTACTTTATACTCTGTCTGAAGTTTATGACTGCTCATTTGGGGGTTATTTTCATTTATGTACTTAAAACAAACCTCTAAGTTTGATGAATTGATTTTGTAGTAAGAGAACATTTATTATAAAATACTTTATGAATATCTCATCTTTAAATTCCTCTCCCTAATATGTAAAATGCACAAGTTGACATGACTTTTCTTTATATGTTTGAAAAGTGAATCATGAACAGTATTTCAGAAATAACATTACTAGCAACTTCCAAAAATAAAGGAAGAAAGACAAAGGATTCAAGGACAGCTGAAAATACAAAGGGCAAACAGAAATGCTCCACATTCAATGAGATGCTGTTTACATTTTTCAGAATTAAAGAAAAAAATAGACAAGGTAAAATTTTCCTTTTCCTATACCTGCTGGAAAAAGTTCATGTTTCTTCTATTTTTTTTTAATTAGTAGATCATTTGATGTGTTTTGAAGTCAAGGGAAGCAACGAAGAGCAATATGAGACAGAGTTGAGGCTAAAATACCTGGACCAGCTTTCTGCCTAAGAAAAAAAAAATGATAAAGAATAATAGAGGCAAGGGTTTGTCACTTTCCTGACATATGCATATTGTCACTTTCTTATGGAATGCATTTTTGCATGTATTAAAGGTTACTGTATGTTAAGTCTAATTGTATGGAATTTTGATTAAGACTGCTGGAGCAGGGTGTTTACTGATAAAACAAGAGCCTGTCCTGAGAGATCCAGGCATCTAAATAACACTCCAGAGGAGACATCATGGCAAGGAGGAGACAAATTTGGTTTAGTTTGATCTGATGTACAGTTTCACAAGAGTATTCTAACAGGAAATTTTTGTCAGAAAGCATTTATTCTCATAAAAGCTATTGCCAGGACAGCTGTTAACAGCATTAGCAAAAACAATAAAATTAAGATACTCTCCTCCTTATGTTTAAAAGCTGAAAATCCTGCCTACTTAAGTTGGACTCATAAGTATACAACATAAATGCAGTAAGCTACTCTTGTTCAATAAGCAAAAATGATATGATACAAATCATTTTCAGAGGTTGTACTGCTAAGTACCTATTATAGCTAGAAATCGAGCACTAACATTAAGAAGCAATGGACCATGTTGTACTGGCCCATTTATACTGTATATACACTGTATACTTATTTTAGGTATCAGGAGTAATCCACCAGAATGCATCTAGCTTGAACTGTCACATAAAGGAATGGATTATTGTCAGGGGTTTTTGCATGTAAATGGAGCTAGTCATAGAGCAATAAATGCAGGCTTGAAACCAGAAATCAAAATAAAACAGAATGTTCTCCCCGCCCTTCCCTACCTTATTCCTAAAAACCATTAAAGCAACTTCAGGCAGTGTAGAAAGCCACCTCATGGGAGAGACTATCCCCTGAGGTTCCCCCAGTCCATAACAGCTTCCCAAATTGGCAATGAGTCACCTCTATCTGATACTGGCAGAGAACCCAGGTTGGTCAGGGACATCTGCCATCATTTTGGCTACTGCTTTAAATGTCCTTTCTTTTTTATTTCTTGTTCCTATTTGGAAAAAGAACAAAGGTAATGAGATAAAGGAAAAGTTTGACCATGAATCCTCTTAGATAACTTACTAGTTCTTCTCTTTCACTGCTTCTCTATTTAGATATGGATAGTCAAAGTGTGATAGTCAAAGTATGATAGCACATCCTGCAGCTGGCCCACTTCATCTTACAACTATAAGTCTGCTCACTACAGCTGCTCCTCCTCTAGGATTAGGAATGCTAGTGTGGATGGCAATGTATTAAGGAAATGGTATCTGAGAGAGCCAAAGTGGGCCCTCTCTGTGTGTATACATTATGCTTCCAACTTTGCATCATAAATCAAAAGCAAAATGCAAAATAAAAACACAGGTTGTTGACCATATTTTTAAAAGTCCTATCTTCAGGCTGAACTATAATTATGAGCATCTGTCATCAGTAATAATGCTTAAAATGTTGCTGGGAGAGGAAGACGTTAGATTTCCAGGCAATCTACCAAGTTTGAAATAGGATCCTAGGCCCTGGCTAGGATGGAATATCAGAGTTCTCCTGGGATAGAATATCAGAGCTCTGCTCTGGGAAAAGGAAGTTTTCAAGAATGAGGATAATTCTCAAGGTCCCAGCCAAGTACTGTAGAACCCATTTCCCTGGAACTAGAAATCTCTAGAAAACTATGCAGCACCTCCCAACTGGGAAAAACTCATGATACCTTCCTGAAGGTCAGAAAGTACAGAGGAGTCCAGAGATTTCCATCAAGCAAATGTCCTAGGGAGGTAAGATTGATACTTGGTCTGCTAGTTACATGAGTAATGTTCATAGGCGTCTACTAGCAGGTGAATTTCAGGCAAGCTCAGAGATGAATTCTCTAGGAAGAGGGTTTCACCACCAGCTAATGAGTTGGGCTAGGGTAGGCAGGGATTGACAACAGTAGGAAATAAAAGTTTATGTCTCTTTAAATTAAATGACCACAACAAATACAATAATGAAGTCTTAATAATTCAGAGAATTCTAAAATGTTGCTTTCAGAAAAGAAATCAAATTTCTATTTTGATTAAAATAAACAGATGAATGGATAAATTGATATATATACAAAATGGCATACTACTCAGCCATAAAAAAGAATGAAATCATGTTATTTGCAGCAACATAGAAGGAACCTGAGGTCATTATGTTAAGTGAAATAAGCCAGGAACAAAAAGACAAATATCACATGTTCTCACTTTTATGTAGGAGCCTAAAAATTGGATCACATGGAGGTAGAGAGTAGAAAGATAGATAATAGAGAATGAGAAGGGTGAGTTGGGGGTGTGGAGAGGACGAGCAGAAGTGGGTTAAAGGGTACAAACATACAAATAGATAGAAGAAATAAATCTAATGTTTGCTAAAAGAGCAGGATGACTATAGTTAACAAAAATATACTATGCTTGGGTGATGGACACCCTAAATGCCATGACTTGACTACTACACATTATGTACATGTAACAAAATATCATGTACCCCATACATTTGTGCCAATGAATAAATCATAAAATAAAAATGATTCTTCAAAATGTTAGTGAAGAAAATAAACCTTATCTCCCAAAGCCATGACACAGGAAGTATGTTTTCTTCCACATCAAAATACTTGTTTATATAAATTGACCTTTATAAATTTGACATAGACATCTTCTACTGTCTTCTTTCTCAATTATGAAACTTCCTTATAACCAAAATCCATCTTCTAATCCTTTGTAAAGAGTTTTTGTGTTTCTTCATTTGACAGTTATCTGAATACAAATACACTTAAATGATGCATTATTTTAAATGTTAGACTTTCACTAGCTTTTCTTGAGCACAAATGTTAACACAAAGAGAGGAAGAAATCATTTTAAGACAATAATTTACCAAATTAAATAAAAGAAAGAAAGAAAAGCAACAGACACACACAAACATTTTGGTGGTTTTTACCCTGAAAATAATTCAAGACTGCACATTTATTTCTGGTTTTGTGTTGAAAAAGATACAGCTATTAATATATGAATCATCCTAAGGAATGCTTCCTTTGGAGCAGCATAAGAAAAATAAAAGGATTGCGTTTCAAAAGTGAAGCTACTTCTACATTTTGGCATACGTGATCTTTGAGCACTAGTCTTCCCCATTTTATCCACTCCACACCATTAATTGAACCCAAATGTAAAATGCCCTATTTTCTTTTTCTTTTCTTGTTTTTTTTTTTTTTTTTTGAGACGGAGTCTCGCTCTGTTGCAGTGGCCTGATCTTGGCTCACTGCAACCTCCACCTCCTGGGTTCAAGTGGTTCTCCTGCCTCAGCCTCCTGACCACGCCTGGCTAATTTTTTGTATTTTTAGTAGATACGGGCTTTTGCCATGTTGGTCAGGCTGGTCTTGAACTCCTGACCTCAGGTGATCCACCCGTCTTGGCCTCCCAAAGTGCTGGGATTACAGGCGTGAGCCTCCATGCCCGGCCAAATGTCCCATTTTCTATCATAAGAAACTTTTTTAAAAATGGGAGTTTCTACCTTCAAGAACCTTGCTATTCATATATATATAAACTTAATAGCTTTTAAATTACTCTAAAAACTAAAAAATACTTTAAAATGATCAATTATATTTGTTAGAGCAGGTATTTAATTTAAAAATATTTTCTTACAATTAGCAACAATTGGAGTTGATTTTTAAGTAATCAACTACAATATAGAGTTTATTTAATTGGGGTGAAAATTCCCTTATAAAGAAAAGTTAATTCAGATTTAACAAAGACAGCCAATTTAAAATCTCCCTATTTCTCTGCATAAATGAAACTATTATTTCAGCCATCTGGACTTCCTTAGTGTAAGGTTCATTAGCATGCAGTAGTTTAGTTTGGCTGTGTACAGAAGGAAATTATATTCTGTAGATCCCACATTTTGTCAACCTTATAAATGGTTCACATATTGTCACAAGCAGAATTAGGTTGTATCACTTGGACTGGCCATATCATTATCAGCATTTTATTAAAATTCACATAGATTATGCCCACTATAGTCCAATAAATAAAATCAGTAGAAAATAATTTTAATCATAGCTAGTCTCCTGGAGCTAGCAATTGAGGGTCAGATTACATAAAAGTACTTTGCCTTTTCAGCTTAAAATACATAATTCCTAAAAGTACAGCGGTAAAAATACTGTTATGTTTCATAGAATGGCACTTAGTCTTCACAATGCCTTAAAAGTTTTAAATAGTTTTATTCCTCTGCAATCAGCAAGTTTAAGATTTATATTCTGGAATTGTTTCTGAAAAATGTGTTCAGAGTACTTATACCTAATGTTAAATGATGAGTTACTGGGTGCAGCAAACCAACATGGCACATGTATACATATGTAACTAACCTGCACGTTGTGCACGTGTACCCTAAAACTTAAAGTATAATAAAAAAATTCATTGCAAAAAAAAAAAAAAGAGTACATTTGTCAAATATATCCCATGGTACAGGGTCAAACAATTTGAAATGCAAGATGGTGACCCTACTTGTAATAAAAGGCACGGGGATTGGGGTTTACTGAGACAAAATATAGCTCAACAGAGTACATTATATCATTATTATTATTATTATTATTTTGAGTCTCGCCCTGTCGCCCAGGCTGGAGTGCAATGGCGCGATCTTGGCTCACTGCAACCTCCGCCTCCCGGGTTCAAGTGATTCTCCTGCCTCAGCCTCCTGAGTAGCTGAGATCACAGGTGCACGCCACCATGCCTGGCTAATTTTTTGTATCTTTAGTAGAGACGGGGTTTCACCATGTTGGTCAGGCTGGTTTGGAAACCCTGACGTCGTGATGCGCCCGCCTCGTCTTCCCAAAGTGCCGGGATTACAGATGTGAGCCACTGTGCCCGGCCACAGTATATTTTTCTTAATACCCTTTAGAAGTCTAAAATATGCTCTCATTTATTGGTAGGAGTAAAAATATAGCTTTCACACAAGAAGGAAAAAAACCTTAAGTGCTATTTAGGGAGACTATAAGATGTGCTATGCATTTATCTAGAATCTGTACAGTTTTTCTTGTCTGCGACACCGGTCATTAATCTTTGCAAGCGGCCAAGTGGAAATCTAAGGTGTCATCCAGGCATAGCATCATATTCATAGACTACTAGAAGCACATTTCAAAGATCAGCTTACTGAATCATTGAGCAACTTACTTCCTCTAAAAGAAGTTTATTTTGATTTATATCGGTCAAACTGGCCATGATTAGAGATCTTTACTGAATTACTTTTAGCAGAGTCATCGTTTTTCAAAGCAAGAAAACACACATACATATTTTGATTGCAGTTGAAAATACCTTGAGAGATATCCGATGTGCACAGAAATGGCATCTTAAGTGTAGTCGGAGTTTTAGTAAATCAAGATTCAACTTCTTTTTTGGTGGCTCAATTCCTCTTCTTAATTTGGGTGTTCAGCTGGCACTGCTCGGTCACCACCAGGAAGGTCTTGAAGAATCACATCAAGTCAATGAAAGCCAAATACTGCCAAACACATCCCATTTCAGGTTGGAAGCAAAGGTGACTGCAGACGTGTTCTTTTAGGCATATGTGGTTTATATGTGTTTGAATTATTATGAAAAATAAACTGAAAAAGTTTCAGGAAACCTAGGTGTAAGCCTGATTCGACCTCTTATTAGCTGTATGAACTTGGACTAAGAACATGACCTTTCACACTGTAATCTCATTCATTGAGAGACTAGTAATATGGCTTGCTCTACCTATATCACACCAAATTCCTGTAAAGTTCAAATTAAATTATGCATATGAATTTGACATTCAGATTTTAAATGCTATGCAAGGGAAGACTTGATTATCATACTGCTACATTTTTGCCTTTTCACCTTTCAAATGTCACCTTCCTCTAGTAGTTCAGGATAAGATGGTCTGTCTCATATTGATTCCTAAACTAGTTCACGTTCTTGCTCCTGGATTCGTAAGTGTTAACTCTTTGTCTTGGGCTGCACTATATGGCTGGTCTTGTTCTGGGATTCTCTCTTATTTTTTTATTTTATATTTTATTTTGAGACGGAGTTTCACTCTTGTTGCCGGGGCTGGAATGCAGTGGCACGATCTCGGCTTACTGCAACCTCTGCCTCCCGGGTTCATGCGATTCTCCTTCCTAAGCCTCCTGAGTAGCTGGGATTACAGGCGCCTGCCACCACGCTCAGCTAAATTTTGTATTTTTAGTAAAGATGGGGTTTCGCCATGTTGGCCAGGCCAGTCTCGAACTCCTGACCTCAGGTGATTCACCCACCTCTGCCTCCCAAAGTGCTGGGATTACAGGTGTGAGCCACCGTGCCCGGCCTGTTCTGGGATTCTTCTACAAGATGATACTTCTACCAAAGTGGGACCAGTGAAGGGTACTGCATTTCTCTCTACTTCCCCTGCCCTTAGTTGCTCACATAACTAACTCAAGGCTATTACGTTGGCAGATTAAGAAAGGTTAGGCACCATGGAAGAAGGAGGACAACGCGCTGTGTCAGGGGAATTAGATCATTCTACAACTATATTAGGTACCTCAGTTCTCACAAGTTTATCACACAGACACCCTCTCAGAACTCTCCTTCAGGTTTAGGCATCCATGAACTCATTAGATCATGTCACTCTCTTGTCTTCTCTTCTCTTCCTCTCTTCTGCAAATTACAAATTCCTATTCAGCTCCTTGCCACCCACCCGAAAGTAGTCCTTGAGCCCCCTTTTCATAATCCCTCCCAAATAATATTAAGTATTAAGGTAAAATAGCTTCACTCTGTTCCACTTCTGTGCCCATAACTAATCAATTAAATTTTTGAATTATTTTCCAAACAGGTGTGGTTGTGCACGTATGTTTTTGGTTGGTTGTTATTTTATAATTACTAAAATTTAGGTAGAGTTCTCACATACCCAAAAAGGGATAAATCAATTATACTTATAAATATTGATGTAAAAATACTAAATAAAATCTTTCTAAACAAAAATTTGTAGCAATTTAACATAATAAAATTATGAATCTTCATCCAGATTGCAAGGATGTATTAATATTAGGAGATGTAAAACTAAGATTTTCCTAATTAATAGAGCTAATGAAAAGGTTATATGATTATCTTCATAGATACTGAAAAGAAATTTGAAAAAAATGAAAATTTATTCTTCACAGAAATTACTCAAAGATGTAGGAAAACTGGGTACTTTAAAATTATTCATATTTTTGTGTCAAATATAATTTTATAGAATATTTCATATATCTATATATATAAATACTAGACAAATTTTCATCAAAATAGAAAAAAAAGAATACTTGTTACCACCTATAGTATTTAACATAGCACTGTATGTATAAACCAATATCATTGGAAACAAAAGTCAATTCAAATAATCTAGTTCAAAATTATGACTATGACCTAGCAAAGACAAGAATATACTGAAAAATCATTACTAAAAATAAAAGAATACAGTAAGTTATAAAATTTACATGTAGAAATAATAGCCTATATATATACATATATAGCATATATAGCTTATATATTATATATAGGCTATATATAGCAATATATGTATATATATATATATGTTATATATGTATATATAGGCTGTAAAATAGTAGCCTCACTGCTGCCTTGACTTCCTGGGCTCAAGCAATCCTCCTAACTCAGCCTCCCAAGTAAGTAGCTGGAACTATAGGCACAAGCCCCCATTCCCAGCTAACTTAAATTTTCTGAATAAAATAATAGCCTATATATACATATATGGCATATACAGCTTATATGTGCATATATAGGCTATTATATATAGGCTATTTTACATATACATGTATAAAGTCCAGAAGATAGAAAGTGAGAAAAGGTTGTTTACAGTAACAACAAAAAACTTAAAATATCTAGGAATAAACAACAAGGAATATCTATGAAGAAAAATTTTAAACACTACTAAAAACTAAAAAGAATATTTGAACAAACGAAAATCATACAATTTTTTTAGGAAGTCAACACACGATGTCTTTCCTACCAAGTTAATTCATAACTTTGACTCCAAAACCAATAAAAATATTAATAAGCCCTATTTCAAAAACATTTTACATATGCTTTTTGCAAGATGCAAGGAGTCACTACAAGTCAGGGATCTCTTCAAATAAAGTCCATATTTTGAGATATCCTTGGTTACCCCAACCTAAGCATACTGACAGAACAAATCCATATAAAGGCAGTTCCTTGACCAAAAATCTTCATTTCCCATTTCCATTTTATTCTACTGTCCTGCTCAGAGCCATGGCAGCCTTTTCTGACACCCCTGGAGATTAGGGATGATCTGGGAATAGAGTGGGATAAAGTCTAGTATACCATAATTCAATGCACTTAGACCTTTGATGTTCCAGTTTTATTGGGAATAACGAATCTTATAGAATTCATCCTTGGCCAAGTCCTGGGCCTTAACTTTTTCTGACTGTGTAATGCTACAAAATCAAAGCTCAAGAAAGTTTTATCAGCAAGTTCCCCCAAGGTAAAAGTAGATTTAGTGATTATGTCTATGTTAACATAATTTTATTTGTATATTGGGCCTTGGGATTTCTGTCTTTCTGATTCCTCATTGGTTTATACAATAATTTTTTAAAAAAATATTCTTCTAGCAATTGTTACTGTTATTAGGTGGAAGCATTAATCTAAGTTTTCTCATCTTTCATTGCAAAAACTGGATCAGTCCTTAACCATAAAGTATGTATTCTGACAAGAATGTAGATAATGTTGATAGATGCTAGAATATCTTCAGAAGTAATGCCTTTTCATTCTACTTTAGCTATATTCCTTTCACTTGAATAAAAACTCCACTGTGAAGCAATTTAGGGTAGATTACTTTGAAATCAGCATTCTTAATCATAAATGTAGAATAATGGTTTCATCCTATTTTATAAATAAAGTCTCACTATGAGATTATTAAAATTTTTGTTACTAACAAAAATCTGCTACAAATTTTTTGTAAAAACATTACAACTTCTAGGTACCATAAGTGTACATAAATTTAAAAATAAGAAGCTAATTCTCCTCATTAAAATTAGGAGAAAAAATTCCTGTCCCTGTCCTTTTATACATGTGTTTATATATATATGCCTTATTTCTATATATATATATGTTTTATAAATGCCATATATATGTTTTATATATGGGTCAATGTTTTATTTTGTTATTGAGATGGAGTCTCACTCTGTCACCCAGGCTGGAGTGCAATGGTGTGATCTCGGCTCACTGCCACCTCCACCTCCCATGTTCCAGCAATTTTCCTGTCTCAGCCTTCCAAGTAGCTGGGATTACAGACCCATGCTGCCATACATGGCTAATTTTTGTATGTTTAGTAGAAATGGGGTATCACCATGTTGGCCAGGCTGGTCTCGAAATTTTGACCTCAAGTGATCCACTCACCTGAGCCTCCCAAAGTGCTGGGATTATATGCATAAGCCACTGTACCTGGCTATGCCATATGTTTATAACATGGGAAGTGGACAGGAATCTTTTCTCTTAATTTTAGCAAGGAGAATTAAGCCTCTCATTTTTAAATTTATCATATCACATTTTATATATATATATATATATATATATATATATATATATATATATATATATATATATTTGAGACAAGGTTTCACTCTGTCACCCAGGCTGGAGTGCAGTGGCATGATTGTGGTTCATTGCTGCCTTGACTTCCTGGGCTCAAGCAATCCTCCCAACTCAGCCTCCCAAGTAGCTGGAACTACAGGCACAAGCCACCACTCCCAGCTAACTATTAAATTTTCTGTAGAGACTGGATCTCACTCTGTTGCTCAGGCTGGTCTTGAACACTAGGCCTCAAGCAATCCTCCCTCCTTAGACTCCCAAAGTGCTGGGACTACAGGCACCAGCTACCACAACCAGAGAATATTTTCTATAGAAAGTTTCCTTTCTCTGTGATATGGTTTGGCTGTGTCCCTACCCAAATCTCATCTTCAATTGTAGCTCCTATAATTCCCATGTGTTGTAGGAGGGTCCCAGTGGGAGACAATTGAATCATGGGGGCGTTTACCCCCATATTGTTCTCAGGAGAGTGAATAAGTCTCAAGAGATCTGATGGTTTTATAAGGGGAACCCCCTTTCAATTGGCTCTCATTTATCTCTTGCCTGCCGCCATGTAAGACCTACCTTTCACTTTCTGCCATGATTGTGAAGCCTCCCCAGCCACATGAAACTGTGAGTCCATTAAGCCTTTTTTTCAGTCTTGGGTATGCTTTTATCAGCAGTGTGAGAACAGACTAACACACTCTGTCTCTTCGAAATGTATGGAAATCTTTAAAACAAAGCCAGAGACATTGCATTACCTGATTCCAAATTGTCTACAAGGCTATAATAACCAAAAAAGCATGGTATGGGTATAAAAATAGACAAATAGATCAGTGGAACAAAATACAGAACTCAGAAATAAAGCCACATATTTACAGCCAACTCACATTTGACAAATTTGAAAGAACATATACACAGAAAAGAACACCCTTTTCAATAAATGGTGCTGAGAAAATTGAATTATCATATGCAGAAGAATGAAACTGGATCCTTTTCTCTCACCATATACAAAGATCAATTCAAAATGAATGAAAGGCTTAAATGCAGGACTGAAACTATAAAAATACTAAAAGAAAACTTAGGGAAACCTCTCCTGGACATCGGTCTAGGTAAAGAATTCATGACTAAGACCTCAAAAGCACAGGCAACAAAACAAAAATAAACAAATTGGACTTAATTAAATGAACAGTTTCTGCACAACAAAAGGAATAATCAATAGAGTGAACAAACAACCATCAGAGTGAGGGGAAAATACTTGCAAAATATGCATCTGACAAGGGTCTAATATCCAGAATATACAACGAAATCAAAAAGCTTGACAATAAAAAAATAAATTAAATAATCTTATTATTTTATTATTATTTGGGCAAAGGGAGGGGTGGAGCAAGATGGTGGGGTAGGTGGTTCCACTGATCATCCCCTCACAAGAACACCAACTTAACAACTATCTACACAAAGAAAGCACCTTTATAAGAACCAAAAATAAGGTGCGCACTCACAGTACCTGGTTTCAATTTTATGTCTCTGAAAGAGGCACTGAAATGTATGAAAAACAGTCTTAAATGGCTAAATCTACCCCTGCCCTATCCCCTGGCAGTGGGGGTGTGGTGCAGAGAGTGATTCTGTGTGTTGGAGAGAGGGAGAGTGCAGCAACTGTGAGGCATTAAACTCAGTGCTGCTTTGTTATAGCAGAAAGGAAAACTGGACCAAACTCAGCTGATGCCCACTCACGGAGGGAACATTTACAACAGCACTAGCCAGAAGGGAATCACAGATCCCAGTGCATGCCTCACCACTGCAGGCTAAAGGTCTCTGGGGTTTCAAATGAACTTGAAAGATAGTTAAGGCCACAAGTACTGCAACTCCTAGGTGAAATGAGTCCTAGTGCTGAACTGGGCCCAGAGACAGTGGGCTTGTGGGGCACAGGGGAGGAACTGGGAATAGATTTACTGAGAACTGGCCAGGACAGCTGAGGGAATGCTGGCATCACCCCTCTCCTAACCCCAGGCTTCATAGCTCATGGCTCCAAAAGAGACCCCTTCCTAACACTTGAGAAGAAGAGAGAGAAGAGTGGAGAGGACTTTGTCTTGAATCTTGGATACCACCTCAGCCACAGCAGGATAGTAAACCAGTCAGAGTCATGAGGCCCCCTTTTTAGCCCCTAGCTCCCTGATGATATTTTTAGGCACACCATGGGCTAGAAGGGAACACATTGCCTTGAAGAAAAAGACCCAGTCCTGGAAAGATTCCTCACCTGCTAAATGAAGAGCCCCTGGGCCCTGAATAACCATCAATGATACCCACGTAGGACATTCTGGACTTTGGGTGACACTCTGAGACTTGCTGGTTTTAGGAGAGACTCAGTGCATTCTCAGCTGTGGTGGCTAAGGGGCAAGATCCCTTCTGTTTAAGAAAAGCAGATGTAAAAGTAAAGGGGACTTTTTCTTGCACAGTAGGTACCAGCTCAGCCACAGGTGGGTAGAGCATCAAGTGGGCTATTGGGGTCCTGATTCCAGGACTTAGTTCTTGGACAGCGTTCTTAGGCCTGCTGTAGGTCAAAGAAGATCTCAGTTCCTGGAAGGATGAGTCCCATCCCAGGCAACATTCACTACCAGCTGCCTTACAGGACCTTGGTCGTTAAGAGAACATTGGTGGTAGTCTCGCCGTACTCCCAAGGGCCTGTGGTAGCAGTGGCCAAGGGGTGAGGCATCTCTGCCTTTGGAAAGTGGAAGAAAAGTGGAAAGAATGCATCTTAGGGCTTTGAGTGCCAGCTCAGCCTCAGTATAATAGAACACCCAGTAGACTTCTAAAGCTTTTGACTCAAGTCCCTGGCTCCTGGATGGCACCTCTGGACCCATCCAGGGCCCAGGGAAAGTCATTGCCCTGAAGGAAAGGACACAGCCCTGGCTGGCTTTGCCACCTGATGATTTCAGAGCTCCAGAAACTTAAAGGAACAAAGGCAGTAGCCACGAAATGGTTCCAGCAAGCCTTGGGTGAGACCCAGTCATGTGCTGATTCAGGTCTGACACAGTACAGTCCTAGTCATGGCAGCCACAAGGGTGGTTGAATCACTCCACTCTCAAGTTCAGGTGGTTCAGAACAAAGAGAGATACTCTGTTCGTTTTGGAGAAAATAGGGGAAAAGAGCAAGAGTCTTTGTCTGATAATCCAGAGAATTCTTTCAGATCTTCTCCAAGACTTATCAGGGTGGTACCTCTACAAGTCTGCAAGAACCACAGTATTACTTGGCTTACAGTGTCTCCTAAAGCAGATATAGCCTCATGGTAACCTCAAACCAAAAAAATGTACAATTAACATACAAAAAGTGAAAAGCAAGAAACTAAATCATATTATGACAGAAAATCACCTTTACTGAAATGAAGGCAGGAATGAATGAAAGAAAGGAGAGAAGACCAGAAAACAAATAACATAAAGGCAGGAGTAAGTCCTTACTTATCAATAGTAACACTGCCTTTAAATGAACTAAACTGTCCAATAAAAAGACATAGAGTGTCTGAATAGATTTAAAAAAAAAGCAGGACCCACTGATCTGTTGCCTACAAGAAATACATTTCACCTATAAAGACACACATAGACTGAAAATAAAGGGATGGAAAAGGATATTCCATGCCAATGGTAACCATAAAAGAGCAGGAGTAGCTATATTTATATCAGAAAAAATAGATTTCAAGACAAAAACTATAAGAAGAGAGAAAGAAGACCATGATGTAATGATAAAGTGGTCAATTCAGCAAGAGGATATAACAATTGTAAATATGTATGCACCTGACCCTGGAGCACCCAGATATATAAAGCATATATTATTAGAGCTAAAGAGAATGATCAACTCTAAAACAATAATAGCTGGAGATGTCAATGCCCCACTTTTATTATAGGGCATATCTTCCAGCCAGAAAATCAACAAAGAAACATCAGATTTAATCTGTACTGTAGACCAAATGGACCTAACAGTTATGTACAGAACATTTCATCCAAGGGCTGCTGAATACACATTCTTTTCCTCAGCATGTGAATCATTCTCAAGGATACACCATACGTTAGGTTACAAAACAAGTCTTAAACATTCAAAAAAATTGAAATATAAAAGCATCTTCTCTGACAACAATGGAATAAAACTAGGAATTAATAATGAGGAATTTTGGAAACTACACAAATAGATAGAAATTAAATAATATGCTCCTGAATGACCAGTGGGTCAATGAAGAAATTAAGAAGTCAATTAAAAAATTTCCTGAAACAAATGATAATGGAAATATAACATACCAAAACCTATGGAATATAGCAAAAGTAGTACTAAGAGGGAAGTTTATAGCTATCAGGGCCTACATCAAAAAATAAGAAAAACTTCAAATAAACAACCTAACAGTGTATCCTAAAGAACTGGAAAAGCATGAGCAAAACAAACCCGAAATTAGTAGAAGAAATAAATTATGAATATCAAAGCAGAAATAAATGAAATTGAAATGAAGAAAACAACACAAAAGATCAATGAAACAAAAAGTTGTTTTTTTGATAAGTTAACAAAATTAACAAACCTTTAGCCAGGCTAAGGAAAAAAGAGAGAAAACCCAAATAAATAAAATCAGAGATTAAAAAAAAGAAGAAATTACAACTGATTCTGCAAAATTTAATAGATCATTAGTGGCTACTATGAGCAACTATAAACCAATAAACTGGAATATCTAGAAAAAATGAACAAATTCCTAAACACATGCAAACTACAAAGATTGAACCACAAAGAAATCCAAAATGTGAACCAACCAATAACAAGTAATGGGACCAAGCTGTAATAAAAAGTCTCCCAGTAAAGAAAAGCTTGGGACCCAGGGACTTCACTGCTGAATTCAACTAAACACTGAAAGGAGAACTAATACCAACCAGACTAAAAGTATTTCAAAATTTAGACGAGGAGAGAACACATAGAATTTTATTCTACAAGGCTGATATTACTCTGATATCAAAACCAAGCAAAAACCCACAAAAAAAAAAAAAAAAAAAAAAAAAACAGGCCAATGTCCCTAATGAATATTGATGCAAAAATCATCAGCAAAATGTTAATAAACAAATTCAACAATACATTTAAAAGATCCTTCGTCATGACCAAGTAGGATTTATCCCTGAAATGCAAATAGGGTTCAACATACACAAATCAATCAATGTGGTCTATCATCAACAGAATAAAGGAAAAAAAAAACATGAAATCATTCCAATTGATGCTAAAAAAGGAAGCATTTGCTAAAATTCAACATTCCTTCGTGATAAAAAAAAAAAAAACTTCAAAAAACTGGAAATAGAAGGAACATACCTCAACACAATAAAATCCAAACAGACACACAGGTATTATCATACTGAACGGGGAAAAAATGAAATACTTCCCTTTAAATCTGGAACGTGACAAGGATGCCCACTTTCACCAGTATAATGCAACATAGTACTGAAAGTCCTAGCTGGAGTAATCAGGCAAGAGCAACATAAAAGGGCATCCAAGATGGAAAAGAAGTAAAATTATCCTTGTTTACAGATGATATGATTTTACATTTGAACAAACCTAAAGATTGCACAAAAAAACGATTAGAATTGATAAACAAATTTAGCAAAGTTTCAGGAGACAAAATCAACATGCAAAAATCAATAGAGTTTCTATATGCCATCAATGAACAAACTGAAAAAGAAATCACAATGTAGTCCATTTTCAATAGCCACAAATAAAATTAAATACCTTCAAATTAACCAAAGAAGTGGAAGATCTCTATAATAAAAACTATAAAACATTTATGAAAGAAATTGAAGAGGAGACCAAAAAAAAAATGAAAAGATATCCCAAGGGCATGGATTGGAAGAATCAATATTGTTAAAATGTCCAAATTACCCAAGGCAATCTACAGCTTCAATGCAATCTCTATGCAAATACCAATGACTTTCTTCACAGAAATAGGAAAAAAATTCTCAAATTTATATGGAATCACAAAAGACCCAGAATAGCCAAAGCTATTCTGGGCAAAAAGAACAAAACTGGAAGAATCACATTGCCTGACTTCAAATTACATTACAGAGCTATAATAACCCAAACAGCATAGTTCTGGCATAAAAACAGACAAATAGACCAATGGAACAGAATAGAAAATGCAGATACAAATTCACACACCTACAATAAACTCACTTTTGATAAAGGTGCCAAGAACATACACTGGAAAAAAAGACATTTTTTTCAATAAGTAGTGCTGGGAAAACTGGATATTTATATACAGAATGAAATGTATCTCCCACAATATGCAAAAATCAAAATAGACTAAAGAATTAAACCTAAAACCTCAAACTGTGAAATTACCACAAGAAAACATTTGGAAAAATCTCTAGGACATTGCCTTGGGCAAAGATTTTTTGAGTAATACCACATAAGCAGAGGCAACCAAAGCAAAAATGGATAAATAGGATCATATCAAGTTAAAAAGCCTATGCACAGCAAAGGAAACAATCAACAAAATGAAGAGAAAACCCACAGAATGGGAGAAAATACTTGCAAACTACCCATTTGACACTCTTGTCAGAGTGTCTGAGATTAATAAACATAACACATAAGAGGCTCAAATACTGTGTAGGAAAAAATCTAATAATCTGATCAAAAATGGCAAAATATTTGAATAAACATTTCTCAAAAGATGACATACAGATGGCAAGAAGGCATTTGAAAAGGTGCTCCACATTATTCATCATCAGAGAAATGCAAATCAAAACTACCAGGAGACATCACACCACCACAGTTAAAATGGCTTATCTCCAAAGACAGGCAATAACAAATGCTCATTGAAGAAATATCTGCATGCTCATATTTGCTACAGTTCTGTTCACAATAACGAATATTTGGAAGCAACCTAAGTGTTCATCAACAGATGAATAAATAAATTAAATATGGTATATATACACAATGGAGTACTATTCAGCCATAAAAAAGCAAGAGATTCAGTCATCACCAACAACATAAATGGAACTGGAGGTCATTATGTTAAGTGAAATAAGCCAGGCACAGAAAGACAAACATCACATGTTCTCATTTATTTGTGAGATATAAAAATCAATAGAACTCATAGAGATAGATAGTAGAAGGATGATTACCACAGTATATGAAGGGTAGTTGCGTGGGGTTGGGGGACGTGGGGGTGATTAATAGGAACAAAACTAGTTTGAATGAATAAATAAATCCTAGTATTTGATAACAAAACTAGGTAACTATAGTCAATAAGAAATTAATTGTACATTTTAAAATCACTAAAAGATTATAATTGGATTGTTTGTAACACAAAGGATAAATGCTTGAGGGGATGCATACCCCGTCTTCCATTATGTGATTATTATACATTACAGGCTTTGATCAAAACATCTCATGTACTCCATAAATATATACACCTATGATGTCTGCACAAAATTAAAAATTTAAAATTTAAAAACAAAATTTTAAAAGTGAGCAAAGTATATCAATAGACATTTTTCAAAAGAATACATACAAACGGACAAGTTATATGAAAAAAATGCTCAAAATCACTAATCATCAGAGAAATGCAAATTGAAACCACATGAGATGTCATTTTGCCCCAATCAGAATGACTATTACTAAATAGGCAAATAATAGCACACGTTGGTGAGAATGCAGAGATAAGGAAACTCTTATACACTGCTGTATTAGTCAATTTTCACATTGCTGATAAAGACATACCCAAGACTGGGAAATTTACAAAAGAAAGAGGTTGAATGGACTTACAGTTCTACGTGGCTGGGGAGGCCCCACAATCATGGCAGAAGGTGAAAGACATGTCTCACAAGGTGACAGAGAAAAGAGCCTGTGCAGGGAAACTACCTTTTTAAAACCATCAGATTTCATGAGACGTATTCACTAACATGAGAACAGCACAGGAAAGACCTACCCTTATGATTCAATTGCCTCCCACTGGGTCCCTCCCACAACACATGGAAATTCAAAATGAGATTTGGGTGGGGACACATCCAAACCATATCATTCTGCCCCTGGCCCCTCCCAAATATCATGTCCTCATATTTCAAAACCAATCATGCCTTCCCAACAGTCCCCCAAACTCTTAACTCATTTCAGCATTAACTCAAAAGTCCACAGTCCAATATCTCATCTGAAATGAGGCAAGTCCCTTCCACCTGTGAGCCTGTAAAACCAAAAGCAAGTTAGTTACTTCCTAGATATAATGGGATACAGGCATTGGGTAAATACAGCCATTCCATATGGGAGAAATTGGCAAAAACAAAGCGGCTACAGGCCCATGCAAGTCCTAAATCCAGTGGGATAGTGAAATCTTAAAGTTCCAAAATCATTTTCTTTGACTCCATGTCTCACATCCAGGTCACACTGATGCAAGAGATGGGCTCCCATGGCCTTGGACAACTACAACCCTGTGGCTTTGCAGGGTATAGCACCCCTTCTGGCAGTTTTCATGGGCTGGCATTGAGTGCCTGCTGCTTTTCCAGGCACATGGTACAAGCTGTTTGTGGATCTACCATTCTGGGGTTTGGAGGACAGTGGCCCTCTTCTCACAGCTCCACTAGGCAGTGCCCCAGTAGGGACTCTGTGGAGGGGCTCTGATGCCACATTTCCCTTTCACACTGTCCTAGCAGAGGTTCTCCATGAGGGCCATATCCCTGCAGCAAACTTCTCCCTGGGCATCCAGGTATTTCCATACTTCCTCTGAAATCTAGGTGGAGGTCCCCAAACATTAATTCTTGACTTCTGTGCACCTACAGGCTCAACACCATGTGGAAGCTGCCAAGGCTTGGGCTTCCACCCTCTGAAGCAACAAACTGAGCTGTATCTTTGCCCCTTTTAGTCATGCTGGATCAGATGGGACACAGGGCAGCAAGTCCCTAGACTGCACACAGCACAGGGACCCTGGGCCAGGCCCATGGAACCATTTTTTCCTCCTAAACCCCTGGGCCTGTGATGGGAGGGACTGCTGCAAAGATCTCTGACATGCCATGCAGAAATTTTCCCCATTGTCTTGCCAATTAACATTTGGCTCCTCATTACTTATACAAGTTTCTGCAACCAGCTTGAATTTCTTCTCAGAAAATGGGGTTTTCTTTTCCAACACATTGTCAGTCTGCAAATTTTCCAAACTTTTATGCTCTGCTTCCTTTTTAGAACTCAATGCTTTTAA
Organism: Homo sapiens; assembly: GCF_000001405.40. Taxonomy (NCBI): domain Eukaryota; kingdom Metazoa; phylum Chordata; class Mammalia; order Primates; family Hominidae; genus Homo; species Homo sapiens. The sequence goes on along the minus strand of NC_000007.14, from coordinate 145,276,062 downwards.
CAGCACCTAAGTCACCTCTTGAATGCTTTGCTGCTTAGAAATTTCTTCTGCCAGATACCCTAAATCATCTCTCTCAAGCTCAAAGTTCCACAAATCTCTAGGGCAAGGGCAAAATGCTGGTGGTCCCTTTGCTAAAACATAACAAGAGTCACCTTTGCTCCAGTTCCCAACAAGTCCCTCATCTCCATCTGAGACCACCTCAGCCTGGATTTCATTGTCCATATCATTATCAAAGCCATTCAGCAAGTCTCTAGGGAGTTCCAAACTTTCACACATTTTCCTGTCTTCTTCTGAGCCCTCCAAACTGTTCTAACCTCTGCCTGTTACCCAGTTCCTAACTCACTTCCACATCTTTGGGTATCTTTTCAGCAATGCCCCACTCTACTGGTAGCAATTTACTCTATTATTCCATTTTCAGACTGTTGATAAAGACATACCTGAGACGGGGTAATTTACAAAAGAAAGAGGTTTAATGACTTAACAGTTCTACTTGGCTGGGGAGGCCTCATAATCATGGTGGAAGGTGAAAGGTATGTCTCACACAGTGGCAGAGAAGAGAGCTTGTGCAGGGAGACTCCCCTCTACAAAATAATCTGCTCTCATGAAACTTATTCACTATTATGAGAACAGCACAGGAAAGACCTGCCTCCATGATTCAATTACCTCCCACCAAGTCCCTCCCACAACATGTGGGAATTCAGAAGAAACTTGGGTGGGGGCTCAGCCAGACCATATCCATTGTTCGTGGGAATATAAATTAGTACAACTTCTATGGAAAATAGTGTGGGGATTTCTCAAATAACTAAAAATAGAACTACCATTTCATGCAGCAATCCCATTACTGGATATATACCCAAAGAAAAAGAAATCATTGTTATCAGAAGGATACATGCACTCATACATTTATCTCAATGCTATTCACAATAGCAAAGATGTGAAATGAAATTAAATGTCCATCAGTGAATGGTTGGATGTAGAAAACATGACATATGTACACAGTAGAACACTATTTGGCCATTAAAAAAACCATGAAATCATATATTTTGTAGCAACATGGATGGAACTGGAGGCCATTATCTTAAGTGAAACAAGTCAGACACCAAAGACACATACTGCATGTTCTCACTTACAAATGGGAGCTAAATAATGTGTTCACATGGACATAGAGTGTGGAATAATAGACAGTGGAGACTCAGAAGGGTCAGTAGATAGGAGTGAGTGGGTGACATTATTTAATGGGTACTATGTACATTATTGGGGTAATATATACCCTAAATGTCCGACTTCACCAATACACAATCTATGCATGTAACAAAATTACACTTGTACCTCATAAATTTATATAAATTTTTAAATAGGTAAGTAAGCCTCTTACCAGGTTTACAACCTAGGACTGTCTTTCTCAAAGACTTGGGAACCATATCTAAAATAAAATCATCAAGGAAGATAGCAGCCCTATCTCTTAGTTTCCATGGAAGGATAGGAACCTATTTTTGGCAGCCTCTCTCCAAGTTGCAAAACTTTCTTCCATCATAAAAGCACGAAAAGTTTACTTTTTTTATAAAGCCAATTAACTAACACAGATGGTCACCTAAATTACCAAATACATTTATAATAAACAGATAGTGCTGTTAACTCCTCTTATTTGAGAACTAGTTATTGTTTATCATGAGAAGACATATACAATTGACACTTCTGCTTGGTTACATAAAAGAGTATGATTTATATTTATCTTTGTAACTTCTCAAGCAGATTGCCTGTAATATGCGTCTCATTCTGTTTTAATGCTTATTCAATAATAATTGTTTTCTTCTTTTATAACCTTGTGGAGAGGTTTTCTGGGCTGGGAAGTGATTTTGCTAATTATATTTCCCCAGTAGTACCAAATTACATCTTAATTGAACTGCTATTAAGTATATAAAAAAATAAGGAGTGAGATATTCTTAGAGAAGCTAAAATGTATAAAATAAAATTTCTATTGACAGCCAGCTAGAGTATGTTTAACTACCGATGAAACTAAACAATTGTAGTGCAGCCAGAAATGCTATTTCTTAATATTTATTAAAGGTAGATAAATTTGTTTTGAAATGTTTAGAAAATAGATATAACATCATTAATAAATGCATATACTTTATATTTTTAAAGTATTGTCACTTATAATTGTTATTTAGTTTTACAAACTTATAACAGATTTCAACACAGAAGCAATAAAATTTTTTATATTCCTGTTAAATAATGCTGTTATGATTATAAACAATCTGCCAGTTAATAAACTGAGATAAAATATAAGAAAATTGATTAGTATCATAATGCAAATCAATAACAATATTAAACATTATTTTCATATCCATCCCAGCTCCTGAATTCCCATTTCCAAAATTCTAATTTGGAAAATTTGCACAAATGTCATATCATTTCTAAATTATTACAACATTTACATAGCCTACAAATGCAACAAAAATAAATATTAATATTTTCCTAAATTATATGGATAAGCTCCAACTGTTCCCATGTGATTTTGTTATTACTGAGCTTTTCTTACACTGCTTAAGCTAGCTAACAGCTTACTATCACACCCTCCATATCATGAAGTTGTTGCTGTTGTTTTAACACATATGTGTGCATATATGTATGCATGTGAGTCATCAAATATTTGTTGATTTAGCCATGTTGTCTTAGTCCATTCAGGCTACTATAACAAAAATACCATAGGGTGGCTTAAACCAGGGGTCCCCCACCCCTGGACCACAGACTGGTATGAGGCCACAGACTGGTCTATGGCCAGTTATGAAGTGGGCCACACAGCAGAAGTGAGTGGGAGGTGAGTGGCAGGTGAGTGAGCATTATTGTCTTAGCTCTGCCTCCTGTCAGATCAGTGGTGGCATTAGAGCCTCATGGGAGCATGAACTGTATTGTGAACTGCATATGAGGGATCTAGTTTGTGCATTCCTTATGAGAGTCTAATGCCTGATGATCTGAAGAGGAACAGTGTCATCCTGAAACCATCCCCCTCTGCCTCAGATCCATGGAAAAGATATCTTTCATGAAATCTGTCCCTGGTGCCAAAAAGGTTGGAAACCACTGGCTAAAACAACACTCATTTATTCCTCACAGTTCTGGATGCTGGGAAGTCCAAGATTAAGGTACTGGTAGATTCAATGTGTGATTAGAACCTGCTTCCTGGTTTATAGATAGCAGTCTTCTAGCTGACTTCTCACATGGCAGAAGGGGAGAAGGAGCTCTCTGTGGTCTCTTTTATAAAGGCAATAATCCTATCCAGGAGGGCCCCACCCTCATGACTTAATCACCTTCCAAAGGCCCCACCTCCTGACATAATCACTTCAGGGGTTAGGATTTTAACACTAATTTTGGGAGGATACAAACCTTCAGTCTATAGAACCTATTCTTTGGACTTTTTTTAGTATAAAAATTTGGGCCCTTCCAAAATTTTAAAAAGAAAAATCCAAGTTCTCACATTTAGCCTTAATATTTTCATTGCCTCCATTTTATATCCCCACAATTTATATGCTCAACCATTATTCCGATCACTTCACTATAATTAGGTTGGAGTTACTGTCATTGTGCCCAGGGCAATAACTATTTTTGATTGGAGCCTTTAATCATTTCATTCTACATTTGAAATGGACAGCATTCTTTTCTTCTTGGTATCTACATACTAACCATCTTTCATGACCAGGTTCAAGTTTCACCTCCTCCCTCTTCCCTGAAGATTCTCACCAATGTAGAGCTCTCTTTACTGTTATCTCTATTATGCTTAACAGGACCACACATTTGAAAGTTTCTATTCAACAAAATCCATAACATATTGCCATGCTGTATAATTTTTCCTGTATGCAAATTACCTTTCAAAATAAATGAGCTCCTTAAAGTAGCTTATCTTAGATGAGACTTATTTATCAATATACTATTAATATAATTTTTAAAAACATGTTATTTAAAATTTTTTTAAAACTCAGCTTTCCTAGTTTCCCGCAAGCCATTATTCACCATCCCTTGTGACATTTGGCACTTGAAGCTGATGATTCTATAAAACGATTTCAGTATTCCTGGCTATGTAAATGAGGCTTTTATTTTCTTTGTTTTTTAACAAAGCACTAGTGTTTATTAAGAATTTAAAATACTGTAAATAAGTCATACAGTTTATTTCACAGTAAATCAACCAAATCTTTTTTCTTTTACTTTTTTCTTCTTCTTCCTTCCTTCCTTCCTCTTCCTCCTCCTCCCCTCCTCTTCTCCTCCTTCTCCTACTCTACTTCCTTCTCTTCCTCCTCCTCATTATTATTCTTCCTGCTCCTCCTTCTTCTTCCTCCTTTTTTCTCTTCCTCCTTCTTCCTGCTTATTCTTCTTTCTTTTTCTTTCTCCTTCTTCTTCCTCCTCCTCCTTCTTCACCCTTCTTTTCTTCTTCCTTCTTTCTTCTTCATCCTTCCTTCCTCTTCCTCCCCTCCTCCTCCTTCTTCCTTCTTTTCTTCCTCTTCCTCTTTCTTCTTCCTCCTCATTCTTGTTCTTCTTTTTCCTTTTTCTTTCTCCTTCTTCCTCCTCCTCCTCCTTCTCCTTCCTTCTTTTTCTTCTTCCTTTTCCTTCCTCTTCCTCCTCCCCTCCTCCTGCTCCTCCACCTTCTCCTTCTTTTTCAGGCAAGACAGGCATTAAAGATCAATACAGCTCAAAGGGAAGGAAGATAAAGCAAACAGTTACAGAAATGAAGTGCACACGTTCCTCATCAACAAAAGGGGCTTGCCGCAACAGTAAACCTCTTCATGGTTTGCAGAAACAAAATAAAAGATTTGGCTTATATTCCCCAGGGAGAAACCCCATTCCTTTGTGGACAGCTCTCATAATACATTTCTTGAAAGAACCCAAGGACTCCCCTTCCTGGGATCCGAAACCTCTGCATTATTTGTTGACCCTCCAGAGAGTTGACACAGGCCAGCCACGGGAGAGAAGGGCACCAGGGACACTGCTGGATGTTGTATTTCACATTCAGAACTGTCTGGATTCTTTGCATCACTACCTTTGATATCACCGGGTGATTCAGGAATTGAAAAGTCACTCGCATCACAGGAGAGTGGTGACCCTCAAGTAGCTGATTCTTTTAAAATAAAGATGGGGAGGTGCTTCCCCCTCCTGATTCACAACTGACATCTATGCCTTTAAACCAGATTAAATTGTAAGACAACTGAGAGATATCACAGAAACATTTCAGTCAGAAGTATAAAAAAATGTACAATTAATTTTCTTTAAAGACAATTAGAAAGAAAAGTGTCACTCCTCCACATCCAGTTTTGTTTTACTCAAAAATCTGCCAGCCAGACAAGATTTTTGAGGTTAATCAGCTCTCTTAACCCTGAGTTGAAGCCATTATCATTTTTCTCTGACATTAGAAACATCCCTCCTAAAAAGTCACCTCTTACTCACTGGGGCTGGGCTTCAGGAAATCAAACGCAGAGGCAGAGCACCTTAGAACACAACGGTGTGGCAATCATTGTAAATCAATTAACTGAGCACAAAATACAACGCCTTGGTGTTCAGACTGTATCTACCACTCTTTCAGAGGGGACAAGGAATTGAGGGGGAGGGTACATAGGAGAAAACAACACATTTTATGATCATGAGAAATTGTGCTTTAAATCCGTGCCCTGCACACACAATTCATTGAGACATTTTCATAAATCTTTTCAACCTCTACAAACAACCCATCCAGATTATTTTTCAGGTCATCTAGTAAACCCTTGGTTGATCCCAGGCTGTTCTCGTTGGTTCTGTTGTGGCCTGCCGGGTACACAAGCAAACTGTCTCCGACAGCCCTGAGCATTTTCAAGTCCAATTGCACTAGGCTGGCTGAGGATTTCAGGCTGTCTAGAGAAGAACAACGGTCCAGGAAGTCCTGAAGGGGCAGACGGGCAGCCTGGGCTTGGTCCTGGCTGGGCAGCGTGTGCTAGGAGCTTGCCCACACACTTCAGCTCATCTGCAGCACCCAGGAGCACCAGCTGGGCCTGGCCAGGCTCCTCACCGCACTGCCAGGCCAGCCCTGTCTGCTTCCGAGGACCCTGGGCCCACCAGGCGCCCCTGCAGGGCGGCCAGGCTCTGCGTCAGCTCCTGGCTCTTGGACAAGGCGCACTGCAGGCTCTCGGTCTGGGGCACAGAAGCCGTCTCCAGAGAACAGACTCCATCCTCCACGTGCTGGAGCTTGGAGTCCAATCCCTGAGTCTTTTTCCGGAGGGTTTCTAAGACGTCTGAGTGTTTGAAGGTTCATCCTCCTGCGTCCCCCCACCTCTCCGCTCATCCCCCCGCATCCCTCCGCATCCCCCCGCATCCCCCCGCATCCCCCCGCATCCTCCCGCGTCTGTGAGAACGGCCTTTAGTTCGCCCAGTTCTTCCTCAACTCTCCTGATCCCCTCCAGGGCAGGAGATGACTCATCAGCCTGGAGAAGCTTCTTCCTCTAAGGCCTGCAGGGTGAGCCACTGCGTGTGGGCCTCGTCCTTGAACGCCTGCTCCTGCTGGAGGCTCACCTGCTCCCGGACCTCTGTGTAGAAAGAGGCTTTAAAATAAAATGTGTTAGAACTCTAATCAAGTAATGCACATTCAGTACTTTAGAATTCTAGACCTATGCCTTTCAGTTATTAGTAATGAACACTAAGGAATATTAAATCTATCAGTATGGAGAAGTCCTCAAATGTGTTAGCAAAGTCGTTGAAACAAAATAAAAGATGTATTAGATGTATTTTTAAAACCAAAGAATACAAAAATACATTAGATGTATTTTTAAAACCAGAAATATAATATCTACAATTGTTGGAATTATTCAATAAACAATGGATTTCTAAAGATGTGAATTTATAAGATTTAGTTAGTGATTTGAGCATATAACCATAATAAAAGTGTTTTAAGTAATGAAAACTTTAGTTTCTTAAACATTTATTGACTACTTATTAAAATTAGTGTACAAAGTATTATTTAGATTACCATAGAACATGGTAAAAGGAAGAGAAGTGAGAATATGGAGATTACGCACTGGCCATCTTTGGAAAGTCATTTAATTTTCTTGACATTTTCATCCACAAATTGAGTGTAGAACCAGAAGTCCCATTTTTCAATTGTGATTGAATCTTTATACTTCATTCTGTAGGACCTTCTTATCCTTTATTTTTACAGGAACAAATTTCTACTTTTTACCGTGATATAATAGTTCTTCTGGGGAAGTCAAGACAGTAAACCAGGAAGCTACAGGGTTTTTCCCCCTCCCATGGAGACACTAAGTCAACAGCAATATATGGGCCAGAATGCCACTGTGAGAATTCTACAGTTTAATGGAGAGGCTACAGTGCCCATGCTATTGTTAACCAAGAAGGGATTCCAGCAAAAAAAAAGGTAAATAAATAAATAAACAAATACAATTGTCCATTTGGCATGTCCTTTATGCTCCTCACCCCATGTGGGATAGAGTAGAACAACTAGGAGGACACCTTATGTACTGGACTTCTCCCTCAGGATGGAAAATGTGGACCATGCATTCAACATTCTGGCTTGTCTGGGAACCACCTAAGGGAATTGTTTTTGTCTTACCTGATATGGAAAATGGACTAGATCTGTGCCAAAGTTTGGAAGCTGCTGAAAACCGTGGTGAGCATCATGTTATAGTTATAGCTCTGCAGACAGATACAAGGGGGAGGAAGAGATTAGAAAAGGTTTGAGAAGTCCTAGAACCTCCAACCAGTGGATTGGTGAAGATCTTTCTTTGTAGGAAGCCAGTATGCAAAGACAGAGAGAGAGAGTTGTTTTTTCAAATGTTCACATTTCAGCCAAAAAATAAAAATAAAAATTATAAGGTATTCAAAGAAACAGAGAAACATAGCCGAACTGAAGAAACAAAATAAAACTCCAGAAACCAACCCTAAAGAAAAATAGATCTATAACCTGCCTGACAAACAATTGAGAGTAATTGTCATAAAAAAGTTTAATGAGCTAAAAGGCAACAAAAGCAACTAAATGAAATCAGAAAAACAATGTGTGAACAAAATGAGAATATCAACAAACAGATGGAAATGCTAACAAAGAACCAAATAAAAATTCTGTGCCGGAAAAATACAATAATGAAGGTTAAAATTTATTAGACGGGTTAAATAGCAAACTTCATCAGAAAGAAGGAAGAATCAAAACAGCTAGTGCTGATGGTGATGAGAAGAAATTGGGACCTTTGTGCCCTGTTGATGTGATTGTAAAATGGTGCCATCATTATAGAAAACAGTATGAAGGCTTCTTAAAAATTAAAAATAGAACTAACATATTGTCTTAGTCTGTTTTGTGCTGCTACAACAAAATACCTGAGACTGGGTAATTTACAAAGAACAGAAATGTATTTTCACACAGTTCTAGAGTCTGGGAAGTCCAAGACCAAGGTGTCCACATGTTTGGCTGTCTGGTGAGAGCTGCACTATCTGGAGGGAACACCGTATCCTCATGTGGTAGAAGATGGAAGGACAAGCTAGCCAAATGCTCTGTGTGCCATAGTGAGGCCTTTCTTTGGCACACCCACCTCTGTGACAGTTCTCTGCCTGGGCCCTGTGGCTGTCCAAGACATCCTTTGAAATCTAGGTGGAAGCTCAGACTGCAGGCACATGCCATCACACCTGGCTAATTTTTGTACTTTTGGTAGAGACAGGGTTTCACCATGTTGCTCAGGCTGGTCTTGAACTCCTGAGTACAAGCAATCCACCCATATTGGACTACCAAAGTGCTGGAATTACAGGCATGAGCCACCATGCCCAGCCAAAAAGATTTTAAAATGTGCAAAATATCACAAAGTTTGTAGGAGACAGAAATGACTTAACACAATAACTAATGCCATACCCTACCAAAAATACTGCTCAAAAAAAAAAAAAAAAGGAAAAAGAAAGAAAAAAAGAAATCTAGGTGGAAGCATCCATGCCTCTACAGCTTGTCCATTCTGCATACTGGCAGAATGAGCACCATATTAACATGCCCAAGGTTTATAGCTTGTACTTTTGGAGTGATGGTCCAAGCCACACCTGAGCTAGCCTATCTTAGAGCTAGGGCAGCTGAGAAGTACTGTGCCAAAATGTGAGGAACAGAGGCTGTCCTGGACAGAGAGGCCCCAAGATCCCACAGATGCCCTGAGTTCTTCCCCTAACACTCTTCTGCCTCCAAGGGCTTGGCCCTCTGGGCCTGTAGGGGGAATGGCAGCCTTAAAGATCTCTAAAATGCCTTGGTTTTATTGTCTTAATGAGTAGAACCTGACTTCCATTGTCTTAAGGAGTAGAACCTGACTTCCTTTTATCCATACTAATACTGTTTGTCAAAAATTTGCTTGGCCAGACTCTTAATTTTTCTCTCTTAAATACATTTTTTTAATTCTTTATCAGGCCAGGCTACACATTTTTAAGACCTTACATTCTATTTCTCTATCAATTATACATTTCATCTTTAAATTATTTCTTTCTTCTTTCATTTTACTATGAGCAATTAAGAGAAGCCATGCGGAATCCTGAACACTTTGGTTCTCATACATTTCTTCCACTAAATATCCTAGCTCATCACTCTTGAGGTCTGCCTTACACAAAGTCCTAGGATGCAGACACAATTCAGTCAAGTTCTTTGCCACATTATAACAAGGATGGCCTTTCCTCCAGTTTCCAATACCTTGTTCCTCATATCTGAGAACTCATCAAAATAATCTTTATAGTCATGGGCATATATAAGTAATTTCTAAGACAACTGAGGCCTTTTCTATAGCTCTTTCCTTCTGAGCCCTAACCAGAAATGCTCTTAATGTTCCATTTGTGGCAATTCAGGCATTTTCCAGTATTTACTTCAAAACTGTTCCAGCCTCTACCCATTAGCTCAGTTCCAAAGCTGCTTCCATGTTTTCAAGTATTTGTTACAGAAACACCCAACTGTTGGTACCAATTTCTATCTTAGTCCATTTTACACTGCTACAACAAAGTACCTAAGACTGAGCAATGTAAAATGTTAAGAAGAGAAATTATGTTTCTCACAGTTTTGGGGACTAGGAAGTCCAAGATCAAAGTACCAGCAGGTTCAACAGTCTGGTGAAAGTTGCATCCCCAAGAATGGCGAAACATTGTGTCTTCACATGGTAAAAGGCAAAAGGGCAAGCTAGTCAAATGCTATATGAAACCTCATTTATAAAGGGTTTAATCCCATTCAAGAGGGAAGAACCCTCATAACCTGATTACCTCTTAAAAGATTCACATCTTAACACTATTACATTGGCAACACCTGAATTTTGGAAGGGACACATTCAAACCATAGCACATACGACCTAGCAATCCCAAGTCATCGTATGTATTCAAAAGAATTGAAAGTAGGATCTCAAAAAGACATTTGAACACCCATGTTCATAGCAGCACTACTCACAATAGCCAACAGGTAGAAGCAACCCCAATGACCATGGACAGATGAATGGATAAACAAAATGTGGTCTATTCATACATCAGAACTTTATTCATTCTTAAAAGGGAAATAAATACACGGATGAACTTTGACGACATTATGTTAAGGAAAATAAGCCAGTCACAAAATACAAATACTGTATAATCCCACACATAGGTGACCTCTAACATAGTCAAATTCACAGAAACAGAACATAGAATGTTGGTCAGCAGCAGCTGGGAGGAGGGATGAAAGAGGAGCTGTTGTTTAATGAGTATAGAGTTTCAGATTTGCAGACGAAAAAGTTGTGGAGGTTTTCAGAACAGCGGAAATATACTTAATGCTACTGGAATGTACACTTAAAAATGAAGATAAAAAATTTCACTTTATGTTTTCTCTTTTATGATAATAATAATGATAGTCTCTTTGTGAGCTATCTCTAATGTATTTTGCCAGTTTTAACCTAAAATCTTCCCATCCTCCAACTACACTGAGTGGTTGTTTGAAGACATTAACTCTTCCATGATTTCCCACACACTCTTTTCTCAACTTGAAGTACTGTGATGTGTTTATTCACATTTTAAGTATTCTTCTTTCCGAACTAAAAGCCATTAAGGAATCATATCAGAAGCAGGACAAGGAATAGGGAAGAAAAACAAGAAGACAAGAAGAAACAGATTCAGATGGTGCTATTGCCAAGTGTCAAGTGTAAAGTACCCTCTTTGTTGCTGAAACCCAACCTTTTTAACTTAATTTAATTACCCTTTCATAAGGTGGTCTGTGGTTACAAATTAGGTACAGTTTTTGCTACTCTTTCCTCCTCTCTTTTCTCAAATGTGCTTTCCTCTAACCACATTTAATTTCTCTCCTGAAAAAGCCACCTTTTTTCTCATACACTTTAGCAATGCTTTTAGCTATGCTGAGACACTACCCACTCCTTCACCTGAGTAATTCCTACTCAGTTGTTAGTTTACATGTATTTGCCTTTATAAAGTCACATTCAACATACCATGTCTTACGTTACATGTTGTTGCCATTGAGTTCTACATTGTTCTTGTAGTACTCAGGAATCTTTAATTACAGTGTTTAATATTGATTGGAATTACCTATTTATTTATGTTGCATAGTATCACACATTCTTAGAGCTTCAGTACTCAACAAAATGTGTTGAATTAATGAATAAATCAATAAATCAATAATCTCCTTGTGATCTGGGGAGGGAAAAGGAAAAAAAAAATCCCCAAACACATGCCTTCGGAGTAGAGATTGACAAGATGATGGGTTAATGACAGCAGAGTTAAGAGAGTGATTGAAGAGATTCTGCTTCCATTTAACATGTGGAATTTTACCAAAGAAAATTATTGCCACACTGACAAGAAAAAGTTGGATATCTTCCAAAATCATGATTATTTTAAGCCCATCAGAGAGCTGATGTCACAAAATAACCAAATGAACTAAGAAGAATGACAGCCCCTACTAGAAAATAAAAGGGCATACAAGAGTTTCGTCTTTGACAGAGCTGACATAGAAGAAGGAAGTCACCATAGAAACAGGTGCAGTGGTCCTTCCTGATGTGTGGTTTCACTCTCTGGTTTCAGTTACCCAGGGTCCAGTACAATCAGATATTTTGAGAGAGAAATATTTGAGAGAATATTTGAGAGAGACTACATTCACATACCTTTTATTATGTTAGTATAATTGTTTTATTTTATTATTAATTATTGTTAGTCTCTTATTGTGCCTAATTTATAAATTAAACTTTATTGTAGATATGCATATATAGAAAAAAAAACATAGTATATATAGGGTTCAGTGCTGTCCAAGGTTTCAGGCATCCACTGAGGGTCTTGGAACATATCCCTCAAAAGATAAGGTGGGACTACTTCAGAAAGAAAGCAGCTGAACTTTTAACACATATTTAAACGCCAATTGTAAGCTTACCTAGCAGTTTAAAAGCCCTCGAATACACAGACAGGTGTCTGCAAGCTATGTCAATTGGCATTCATGAGCCATTACTGAGTGCTCATGAGAAAGACCGGATGTAGGGCGGTAAAAATTTAGAGAGACCTCTTTTTTTTTTTTTTTTTTTTTTTTTTTTTTTTTTTTTTGAGATAGAGTCTTGGAGTCTTGCTCTGTCACCCAGGCTGGAGTGCAGTGGTATGATCTCTGCTCACTGCAAGCTCTGCCTCCCAGGTTCACGCCATTCTTCTGCCTCAGCCTCCCAAGTAGCTGGGACTACAGGCATCTGCCACCACGCCTGGCTAATTTTTTGTATTTTTTAGTAGAGATGGGGTTTCACCGTGTTAGCCAGGATGGTCTAGATCTCCTGACTTGTGATCTGCCCGCCTCGGCCTCCCAAAGTGCTGGGATTACAGGTGTGAGCCACCACGCCCGGCCTAGAGAGACCTCCTTTAAGACACATTGTACTGCTTCTAATTCTAAGGACGGAATAAGAAATCCAAGGAAAACACTCTCACTCCCTGGTCTTCACTGCATGTATAGTGGCTGACATCTACCCCTGGGGAAGAAACTAGAGTGCTGAGAGATGTTCTCTGACAGGCAACTACAGACGGCTGCCTGGGCCTGAGGGTGAAGAAGGAAATGAAGAGGAACTCTCCCACACTCTAGGCCCTATGATAAGTATGAGGCAACCACCGTCTACCACTGGGAAATAGCTCTAGACAAGTATAATGTTGCAGATTGCTTTTGTTTTTTAACGCCTACTAGTGGCTATGATGGAGTAACAAACACCAGATTTACTCTACTAACTTAATAACAAAACTGGTTAAAATATATAAAACCACTGATTACAGACTTTTAGGAAGCCACAGCACAGAACTTTAATGTTTTGTAAGAGAGAAAATGAATGAGATGAGCCCTACGTTTGTCCCAACTTTACATTCTGAACCTTGGAGCAGGAAGGGAAATTCCAGACAGAGCACAGAATTCAAAGGGTCTGAGGTGGGTAGATGCTGTAAGATGGACTTCAAGAGAAGAGGGAGCCATGCAGACAAAGGGCTCTAAAAAATCTTCTGAATGTCCCCTAAGTCTTTGCAAACTAATAAGAAGTGTACATGAAGAGTGAAACTCCATGAGGTTAGGTAAACAAGGCTTGTAGACCTGAGTCCTGAATGGTTTCCAGAATTTATACAGGATGGGGATTCCAGACAATCAGAGTATGATGTTCTCTTGTCACTGATCACATTCACTAGTGACAACTAATTAGCACATCCGAGTAATCAAAAAAAATCACTAAAGACCACACTAGATATGCCTTATGTAAGCTTAAAAGCAAGCCAAAAAAGGAATAAAATAAACCACAAATATCTCAGCTGTTGATCAGAACAAAACTTAATATGCTTTACAGAAACAATCAAATTAATTCCAAGTAAGCTAACTGCAACCCACAATAAAGGATAAGGCCACAAACAGGAATACAAACATCACATACATCTAACATCATAAAAGTTAACAGTTAACATTCAGTCGAAAATTCACAAACATGAAAAAAGCAAGAAAATACGACAAATAATGAGGACAGAATTCAATCTACTGAAACCTGTCCAGAACTGACACAGATGTTAGAAGTAGCAAACAAGGATATTAAAAGGTACTTAACTGTATTCCATATGTTCAAAAAGTTAAGCAAAGATATAAAAATGACCCAAATTGAACTTCTAGAGATGAAAGTCACAATGTGTGAGATAAAAGCAACAATAAAAATACTAACTAGGATAGCAAAATCTTAAACATTGCTGGTAAACAAATTTATATAGAAATCGCACAATCCAAAATAAAACACAAAAAGGATATAAAGCCCCCAAAATAATAAACAGTATTAGTGGCTCTGAGACAACTTTAAATGACTACACACACACACACACACACACACACACACATTTAAATGTATATCATACATTGGAATAGTCAAAGAAGAGGACTAAGGAGAGACAAAATATTTGAATAAAAAATTATTAATTTTGTTAAGTTTAATGAATATTATGAACTCATAAATTCAAGAGGCTCAATGAACATGCAGAACAAGGAAATTCAAACACATAATGCCAAGACACTTCACAATCAAATTGGTTAAAAAACATTGATAAAGGTTAAAATGTTAAAGCAGCCATAGAAATGGAAAAGTTACATACAAAGAAACAAAATAAGAATGGTAGCAGCTTTTTGTTTCTGAACAATGCAAAAGACAAGACAGTAAACACCTTTAAAGCACTAAAAGGAAAAAGAAAACTTGTCATCTGAGACTCTTATACCTGGAAAAAAGTAGCTTTCAAAAATGAGGTGAAACCATGACTGGTTTAGAATACTAAAGAGTGAGAGAATTTACCAACAGTGAATTCCTGTTGCACAAAAATGTTAAAGCCAGTTTACCTGGCAGAAAAAAAAATGATATTAAATGGTAACTTGTATCTACATAAAGAAATTAACATAGGTGATTTTTTTCTTATTATTTAAATATCTCTAAAAGATAACCAACTGACTAAAACAAAATAATAATAGTGAATTGCTAGATGTATAACCTATGTAGAAGTAAAATGCATGGCAACATAGTGCAAAGGCCAGGAGGGAAGAAATGGAAGTATACGACTACAGAATCCTTATATGTGAAGTAGTATAATTGCTATATTATCACTTGAGAGTAGATAAGGATAAGTTACATCTGTAGAATATGAATCCTAAAGTAATTAATAAAATTAAAAACAGAGTCATATTGAACAAGCAAAGAAGATAAAATACAATCATTATAAACACAAGATTAACCCAAAAGAACTCACAAGAAGGCAGAAAAGAAGAAAAAAAAACAGATCTGATAAGAAAACATCAGGAAGATGGTAAATTTAAACCTAATCAATAATCATAATAAATACTAATTTTCCAAACACCCCAATTACAAGGCAGATATTATCAGGTTGGATTTAAAAAGCAACATCGAACTATATATTGCTCAAAAGAAACCCATTATAAATATGAGGCTCAAATAGGTTTAAGTAAATGGATTGAGGACTTCAGTTTCAGCATAAACATGTAGTGAGCTAAAAAAGCTTACTATCCTTACAACAAAATAAAAAAGATGAACATGCAGCAAATTAATGATCTTTCATGGACTCATTAAAGAGCTAATGTCATAGGACAAATGGCCATCCTGAAAAGAGACAGAAACCTCCAGGGAAACATAGAAGCCAAGCATTTGTTTACAAGGCCAAGAAGCTTCTACTGGGTGCCATGTATGTAAGTCAGTAGAAACTATAACGAAAAATTCTTAGGAATAGGTTGTCTGGAGTGAAAATATGAAACCCCCAGGGCCTGAAGCCTTGGGAAGTTCCTCTCCATTTTGCAGGATTTCTCTTCAGACTTTTATAGGCAGAATAGCAGAGAAACTGGAGAAAGGTACCCCGTGGTACTAGTTGGGGAATGTAGAAAGCAATCATTGTAAAATCTGTCCAGACCTTTGTCCCTTTTGAAGCAAAAAGCTCAGTCTACAGGGTAAAGGATACCACCTGAAAGCATAGGTAAAATTCCATATCAGCTAACAGAAGGCAGCTCTAACCAGCTTCAATATCCCTGTATCACCTAAGGTCACATAAAAGCTTTAATCTTCAGTTGAGAGTACTTCTAAAACAAAGGCTAAGAACCCTGGAGGATTTCCATTCCACCAGGAGAGGGATGCTTGTGAAGACACAACCCACAAGAGTCAGGCCAAATGTGCACTCTAAAGATGGAAATTTCATCAGAACACCCAAGCACCATGTTAACAAGCCTCCAGTACAGCTGGGAAAGCTACACAAAGGAAAGATCAAAAGCCAAGGTTGCTAGAGTAATTTGGAGCCTCTAGTGACCACAGCAATAATATACTTCAAATGTAGCACTCCTCAGTAGGTTAATATAAATCTATATACTAAAGGTCTATGTACCTCATTATTTATTTCCCTATATTTGTGCAACCAAAAATAGCAAAGCATGCAAAATGGCAAGAAAGTACAGTCTGAAAAGGCAACACAATTATTGAAACAAGACTCTGATATGACACAGAATTGTAATTATGCAACAGGGAACTTAACATAACTGTGATTAATATATTAGAGGTGTTTATGGAAAAGGTAGGCTACATGCAAGATTAGATAGGTAATTTCAGCAGAGAGATTGAAACTAAAAAGAATTAAATGGAAAAGATAGAAATATAGCCAATTTCTGTGGGATCAGTTGTAATGTCATTTTTGTCATTTCTGATTGTGTTTATTTGGATCTTCTCTTTTTCTTTGTTGTTGTTGTTAATCTAGCTAATGGTCTACCAATTTGTTTTATTCTTTTGAATAACAAACTGTTGGTTTTATTGATCTTTTGTATGGACTTTTATATGGGTCTCAATTTTGTTCAGTTCTTCTCTGATTTCAGTTATTTCTTCTCTTCTACTTGCTTTGGGTTGGATTGTTCTGTTTTTTTCTAGATCCTCTAGTTGCAATGTTAGGTCATTAATTTGAGATGTTTCTAGCCACTTGATGAAGGCATTTAGCATTATAAATTTTCTTAACAGTGCCTTAGCTGTATCACAAAGGTTTTGGTAAATTTGTCTCTATTTTTATTAATTTCAAAGAATTTTTTGATTTCTGCCTTAATTTTGTTGTTCACCATTGAATAAATTTCAGTTATGCAGAATCGAATCATTTAATTTCCATGTTTTTGTGTAGTTTTAATAGTATTCTAAGTATTGATTTCTATTTTTATTGTACTGCCGTCCAAGAGTGTGCTTGATATGGTTTTGATTTTTTAAATTTATTAAGATTTGCTTTACAGCAAAGCATGTGGTTGAGCATAGAATATGTTGATGTATGGATGAGAAGACTGCATATTTTGTTGCTGTTGGATACAGTATTTTGCAGATATGTATTAGGGTCTGAGTGGTCAAGTGTCAAGTTTAAACCCAGAATTTGTTAGTTTTCTGCCTCAATGATCTGTCTAACACTGACAGTGGGGTGTTAAAGTCCCCCCTATTATTGTATGGCTGTCTAAGTCTTTTCATAGGTAAAGAAAAACTTGTTTTATAAATCTGGGTGGTGCTATGTTGGGTGCATATATATTTAGAATAGTTAAGTCTTCTGGTTGAATTGAACCCTTTATCATTATGTAGTACCCTTCTTTGTCCTTCCCAATTGTTGTTCATTTAAAATCTATTTTATCTGATAAAATAATAACAACTCCTGCTCTTTTTGTTTTTGTTTTTCATTTGCTTGATAGAACTTCCTCCATCCCCTTTGTTTGAGCTTGTGAGTGTCATTACATGTGAAATGTGTCTCTTGATAACAAAAGTTAGGTCTTGCTTTTTTATTCAGCTTGCCACTCTATGTCTTTTTTGTTTGTTTGTTGCAGATGGAGTCTTGCTCTGTTGCCCAGGCTGGAGTGCAGTGGCACGATCTCGGCTCACTGCAACCTCTGCCTCTTGGGTTCAAGTAATTCTCCTGCCTCAGCCTCCTCAGTAGCTGAGATTGCAGATGTGTGCAACCACATCTGGCTAATTTTTGTATTTTTAGGAGAGATGGGGTTTTGCCATGTTGGCCAGGCTGGTCTCAAACTCCTGATTTCAGGTGATCTGCCTGCCTTGGCCTC
Source organism: Homo sapiens (assembly GCF_000001405.40). Taxonomy (NCBI): domain Eukaryota; kingdom Metazoa; phylum Chordata; class Mammalia; order Primates; family Hominidae; genus Homo; species Homo sapiens. The sequence continues at coordinate 145,258,013 of NC_000007.14, read as the reverse complement.
TCAAAGTGCTGAGATTACAGGTGTGATCCACCATGCCTGGCCCACTCTATGTCTTTTAAGTGGGGAGTTTAGACCATTTACATTCAGAGTTAGTATTGATATGTGAGATTTTGATCCTCAGACAAGATTATGAACACCTCTATGCATACAAATTAGAAAATCTGGAGGAAATGGATAAATTTCTAGAAACATACAGCCTCCCAAGATTGAATCAGAAAGAAAGTGAAAACCTGAACAGACCAGTAACAAGTTCAGAAATTGAATCAGTAATAAAAAAAATCTATCAACCAAAAAGACCCCAGAACCAGATGGATTTGTTGACTAATTCTACCAGATACACAAAAAAGTGATACCAATCCTACTGAGACTTTTCCAAAAAAATTGAGGGAGAGGTGCTTCTATCTCATTCTATAAAGCCTGCATCATCCTGATACCAAAACCTGGCAGAGGCACAACAAAAAAAAAAAAACAACAATATCTCTGATAAATGTAGATGCAAAAATGCCCAAAAAATACTAGCAATCAGCAGCATATCAAGAGTTAATTTCCCATGATCGAGTGGGCTTTTCTTTTCTGGTATGCAAGGTTGGTTCAACATACTTTAATCAGTAAGTGTGATTCACCACATAAACAGAATAAAAAACTATATGATCATTTTTATAGATACAGAAAAAAAGCCTTCAGTAAAATTCAACATCTCTTCATGATAAAAATCCTCAACAGATTAGACATTAAAGGAAAATACTCCAAAATAATTAGAGCCATCTGTGACAAACCCACAACCAATATCAGACTGAATGGGCAAAAGCTGGAATCATTTCCTTTGAGAACTAGAACAAGACAAGGATGCCTACTCTCACCACTCCTATTCAACATAGTATTGGAAGCCCTAGCTAGAGCAATCAGACAAGAGAAACAAAGACAAGGCATCCAAATAGAAAAAGAAGAAGTCAAACTATCTCTCTTTGATGACAATATGATTTTACATATATAGAAAACCCTAAAGACTCTGCCAAAGGCTCCTGGAATTTATAAATTCAGTAAAGTTTCAGGAACAAAATCAATGTAAAAAAATCATTAGCATTTTTATAAACCAACAACATTCTAGCTAAGAACCAAATTAATAACACAATCCCATTTACAATAGGCACAAAGAAAATGAAACACCTAGAAATTCATCTAACCAAGAAAGTGAAAGACCTCTGCAAGAAGAACTACAAAACACTGCTGAAAGAAACCAGAAATGACACAAATGAATGACAAAATATTCCATGCGCATGGACTGGAAAAATCAATATCATTAAAATGGCCATACTTGCCAAAGCAATTTATAGATTCAACATTATTCCTATCAAAATACCAACATCCTTTTTCACAGAATTAGAAAAATCTATTCTAAAATTCATTTGGAACAAAAAACAGCCTGAATAGCCAAAGCAATCCTAAGCAAAAGGAACAAAGCTGGAGGCATCACATTATCCATCTTCAAACTATACTGTAAGGCTACAGTAACCAAAACAGCATGGTATTGGTATAAAAACAGATGCATAGACCAGAGAAACAGAACAGTGAATCTAGAAATAAACCTGCACACCTCTCACTATATATGAACATTAACTCCAGATGGATTAAATATTTAAACATAAGAACTCAAAATATGAAAATCCAGAAGAAAAGCTAGGAAATAGACTTCTCAACATATGCTTTGGCAAAGGATTTATGGCTAAGTCCTCAAAGGCAATTGCAACAAAAACAAAAATTGACAATTGTGACCTAATTAAAGAGCCTCTGCACACAACAAAAAAATTACAAACAGAATAAACAGCCTACAGAATGGGAGAAAACATTCGCAAACTATGCATCTAACAAAGATCTAATACTCAGAATCCATAAGGAATTTAAATCAACAAGCAAAATCAAAAAGTCCAGTTAGAAATTGGACAAAGGGCAGAGTGCAATGGCTCATGCCTGTAATCCCAGCACTTTCAGAGGCCAAGGCGGGCAGATCACGAGGTTAGGAGATCGAGACATCCTGGCCAACATGATGAAACCCTGTCTCTACTAAAAATACAAAAAATTAGCTGGGCATGGTGGCACGCAACTGTAGTCCTAGCTACTCAGGAGGCTGAGGCAGGAGAATTGCTTGAACGCAGGAGGCGGAGGCTGCAGTGAGCCGAGATCATGCCACTGCACTCCAGCGCGGGCAACAGAACGAGACTTTGTCTCAGAAACAAAAAAAAAAATGGACAAAGGACATGAACAGACACTTCTTCAAAGAAGACATACAAGCAACCAACAAACCTGAAAAAATATTCAACATCTCTAATCATCAGAGAAATGCAAATCAAAACTACAATGTGAAATCATCCCACACCAGTCAGAATGATGATTATTAAAAAGTAAAAAAAACAAAAAAACAAAAAAACAGATGTTGATGAGGCTGGAGAGAAAAAGGAATGCTTATGCACTGTTGGTGGGAATGCAAACTAATTCAGTCACTATTAAAAGCAGTTTGGAGATTTTTCAAAGAACTTAAAATAGTGCTACCATTCAACCCAACAGTCCCACTACTGGGTAGATACCCAAAGGAAAACAATTCATTCTATCAAAAAGACACATGCATCTACATGTTCACTGCAGTGTTATTCACAATAGCAAAGACATGTAATCAACCTAGGTGTCCATCAACAGTGAATTCCATAAAGAAAATCTGGTACATATACATCATGGAATACTATGTAGCCATAAAAATGAATGAAATCATGTCCTTTGTACAAACATGGATAGAGCTGGAGGCCATTATCCTAAGTGACCTCATGCAAGAACAGAAAACCAAATACCATATGTTTTCACTTATAAGTGGGAGCTAAATATTGAATACACATGAACACAAAGATGGACACAATAGACACAAGCGATCACTATTTGGGGTAGAGTGAAGGGACTGAAGAAGAACCTGTTGGGTATTGTGCTTACTGCATGTGTGACAGGATTGCTGGGACCCCAAACCTCAACATCATGCAATTTACCCAGGTAACAAACCTGCATGTGTACCCTTTAATCTACAACAAAAGTTGAGATTAAAAAAAAAAAAAAAGAAGTACAGCCAATGTGCTCCATTTACCATCCTTATCTTTTGTCTTTTTTCCCTTCAATTCATCATCTACAGCACTGAATAAGTAATCGTCCTTGATTAGCAATATGGCATAGCTCTACTCTGCCTAAGAATCTTCAAAGAGGGCCTGGTGCAGTGGCTCACGCCTATAATCCTGGCATTTTGGGAGGCCGAGGCAGGTGGATTACTGAAGGTCAGGAGTTCAAGACTAGCCTGGCCAACATGGTGAAACCCAATCTCTACTAAGAATACAAAATTAGCTGGGTGTGGTGGCATGCACCTGTAATTTCAGCTACTCGGGAGGCTGAGGCAGGAGAATCGCTTGAACCCAGGTGGCAGAGGTTGCAGTGAACTGAGATCGCTCCATTGCACTCCAGCCTGGACAAAAAGAGTGAAACTCTGCCTCAAAAAAAAAAAAAAAATCTTCAAAGAGAAGCTATACAACAAAAAATGGAGAGAATTAGAGCCAGACACATTTAGAATCAAATGACAGCTTCATCACTTCTGGGCTGTGACATCTAGGAAAATAATATAAACACTTTTAGAGCCTCTGTTTTTTAATCTGAAAAGTGAGAATAATAAGCCTATTATGAGGATTAAAATAGATAATAACATAGTACTCTTCATACCACACATTAAGGGATGACTAAGTGGCAGCGCTATTGTCAATGCTATTAATTCATAATCTTTAGAATTTAAAGCCCTTCTTTAGAATTTAAAGCCCTTCTTTGCTCACATTACCGTTTTACAATCCTGATAGTATTTGTAGTTTCCATTATTTCACATTTCATCCAGTCAAATAATGTTCCCTAATGACCTTAAGATATTGAACTTTCTTGAGCCTCCCTGACTGTTCCAGTCCCATGACGTCTTCTTCTCGTGGTTCCGTAGCATTTGAGATCTGTACCAAGAATATAGCATTTCCTATGTTGACATTTTGTCTTCTCCAGTTAGCTCAAAGCATCTCAAGGACAACGTTTTCTTCTACATCTTTGGATGTTTCACTCTACCTGGTATTGTTTGAATTAATTTTACTTTCTATTCTCACCAAATACTATAGCATACTCAAGATATTTAAAAAGTAGCTTTTCTGTGATACTTTAAATAAATTCTGTCTTTTTGAAATTTTCTTAGAATATCATACAATATTGACAATGATCCAATCACATAACTTGAAGTACATGAATTTGTATCTTACTATTTCTCAAGCTGTTTTCTTTAGAACTCTTAGGTATAAGCATATGTCAATGCAAATTGTATCACCTCCGTTTTCATTTCCAAATGTTTAAGTTTTATTGTGTTTATGTTTAAAATACCGTGTTAACAACAGAGTTCACATTTATATAAAATCATATCAAAACAATATGACCCAGACTTGAGTAAAAATTAAGGACTTTCCTAAATGCAGTAAATAGAATGTGTTCCTTCAGAAACACATAGAAGAAACTACAATCGTGTTTTATGATAAGCACTGTGAGTTTTATGGAAATTATCAAAAAATTCAAAATGACAAATGTAATTCAACAGAAAGTGAATACCTTGTCTATATTTTAATCTCACTAAGGAGAGCAGATTGACAAGCAATACTCAACAGTTATGATAATGTCCTTGTAGCTGAAAATAAGAGGTAAACCTACTAAAACTTGATAGTAATAAATAAAACTGGCCACAATGCCATCAGATTATATAATTATATCTAGTTTTTTAATGACATCTCTCAATTATTAATCTGAGTCCAGTTTGCATTACATTTTAAGATGTATTTGCAGTTTTTCAGGAATAAGTTTCAGGACTTCAGGTGAAGAGTAGTTTGTAGTTTTCTTGCTGCTATAATCTTTATGCTCATTTCTCTGTCACCTCATATGCCTGAAATACCCTTGTATTCCTTCTCCCCTGAAAGTATGTTAACTGGTCTCTTCTGAAAATTCAAGTTGTTGATTTGATTCATAGAGAGCATCTTTCTACACAATGAGCTTCTTGAGGCAAGGAACTTGCGCTACTCGTCAAATGCACAGAAAGAATATCCCTTTAGTAAATATTCAATAAATTAACTATAAATTCTAAAAGAGACCAACACATCTTTATTGCTCAAATGAAGAAACTGAGGATATTGGACAATAAAGTAATTGCTCAAGCTCACAGATAGTTGATGACAATAACTATCTGTTGTTCTACTTTCTATCCTAATATGTGTTCAAAAATTCTATCCTGCAGCATATTTTTGCATAAATTTTCTTAATAATCAATGGGAAACCATCCTTCAATAGATAGTAACATATGAGGGTATTGCCCTCATTTGGAAACAAACAAAAATAAAAGTACTGTTAATCCCTGATGAAATCAGATCCATTTTCTTCTCCCAAAGCAGCCCTGACTTTAGGGAGGAGGGAGTGGGGAGGATACCTTTTTAAAGAGATCATATTTGCTTTGGAAGGAATCCATCAGAATGTTTAAAACACTCGACCCCATGCAGGGATTATATTAGCTCAAATATCAAACTTTTAGTATAATAAATAAAAGAAAAAGAGTAAGCTCTGATGCTGATTTTTCCTGTATTCTAGTAATTGGTCCAGTTATCTGTTGGATGTTTTTGAATATAGTTACAACATCAAGCTATAAATATATGACTTCATCTTTCCTGTGGTAAAGAATTGTTTACAAATCTGCTGGAAACAGCTAATACTGTTATATCTCAAAGGCATGCTCTTTCTCTTTTGGGGTATATAGAATTTTTGAAGCTTCAAAGAGTCTTGAAAAACTGAGGATAATCTATAGGTAAAGGCAAGAGCAAATATAACTGATGTAATAGAGTTTCTGCTTGCTCATTTTAGCCCTCTTTCCTAACAGCTCTACCATTAGATTTTACATATTCTCCTCCAGCCTACATCTTATAGTCAGTTTTTTCATATTTTCCATTCCAGAACAATCAATTTCCTTGCATTTTATCCTGTTAACCTACCAGCTGTTTTCACTGCTGCCACTTCCAAATGCTGTGGACAGCTAGAAAAGTTAGATAAAACAAGAGTCCAGCAACCATCATAATATTCTGATAAACTCCACCACAAATTAATTTCAATCATTGTATCTCTGCAGTCCCCTGGCTCCTTTATACACCTCTGTCTTCTAAAGCTGAGTCTGAGATGGGGATTCTTTTTCCATTGATTTATTAAATGCAATGCCCTCAGAGAAAGAAGTGAGAAAGAGGATAAGGAAACGGAAAAAAATCCAACAAGAATGCGTTTCCACCTTCAGGCTAGCTGAAGTCTGATCCTACGGCAAAGCTCTGGTTCGTTAATTGCACCCACAGAGTTGGTTCCACCTTGAGTCAAGAAATAGCACAATCTGATTTTCTTTGTTAGCCTCCAGGCTTATGCTGAAATTATCTCATCAAAGATCAACTATCTAAGAACCAAACTCAGTGATATTTTCTCAGTTTAAAATCTCCAATATGGCACTTAACAGCACCGATTAGCTCCTTTTCAAATTCCTCCTCTTGGGCAAAATGATATGAACAAAATTGTGTATTGTCTTGACTTAGAGAATAATTATGGAAAAACAGTATATTTTTATTTACTTTTTAAATACAATCTTCTCTTCTCAAATACTTCTATAGTCTGCGGAATAGAGACCACCCCCGATACTTCTTTTCCTTTTTTTTTTTTTTTTTTTGAGACAGAGTCTTGCTCTGTCGCCCAGGCTAGAGTGCAGTGGCACAATCTCAGCTCACTGCAAGCTCTGCCTCCCGGGTTCACGCCATTCTCCTGCCTTCTCCTTCCTAATGTCAGCACAATTTATGATGCTGGGAATAAAAACTCAGCACATACCTGTGACGACACAAAACGTTTCTTAATAGATTCAACACAAACAGGATAAGACGCATATGCTGCTTAGCTTTTCCACTGGTTTTACAAACTATTATATAGGAACTGTTTTCTGTCCTTAAAATAATCCCCTGGGCTACTCATTTAAATGGAAAGTCCCTAGGAAAATCACAAGGTACAAACTGTGGGAAGACAAGAGATATACATACCTCTTGCGTATCTCATCAATTAATATATCCAGTATCAATAGTGATAGAATATTTGGCTACTGATAAAACACAAGAATAAGCCAGGAAGAAGAGAGGCTGGGTAACACATATATGCAAAAATACATATATATTTACATACATTTGCATACTGCACATGTACACACCTTCCAGAGCCTTAGTGCACATTTTCCCATATACATGGTATCCAATAAATATTGGAATAAATGTGGAAGAGAAAAAGGAAATGGATAGGGAAGAAGGAAAGGGAAGCAGGAGGGATAGAAGAAAGGAAGGAAGGAAGGGAGGAAGGAAGGAAGGAAGGAAGGAAGGGAGGAAGGGAGGGAGGGAGGGAAAAGGTGAGCTTATTTTCTCCACAATTCTAAAATATGTTTGGCTAATTATAAATTTCCTTATGAAAGTCCCACAAGAAACAAAGTCAACTGCCTTTTAAAGTTTCCTTTACAGTAGTTAAATATTACCTATAGTTGGATTGTTATGTTTTAAATTCTTGTCAAAAAAATGTTAATTTTTCTTATAAACATAACATCCTTTCATCCACACCTTAGCATTTGATGATAGGTTGTAGGTAGTTGTAGGTTGTTCATAGGATTTGTAGATAGGTTGTTCTCACTTTGACTGAAAATTAAAAATAAATTAGCCCTAGAAATGATGCCTTAAAAGTGCACGTTTGGAAAAACTAGCTTCAGCCTCTTTTAACACCCTCATTCGTGCTGGATTATTTACAAATACCTCAGACCTGGCCATGATATTTAAGGTAGATCTCAGTTTACCAATATCATCATATCTTTTGCCAACTCCTGGGTAAGAAAACTATTTCTTCTTGTGGCTTAAACTTAACAAATCCTCCACAGAAGTCACTTGAGGGATAAATGGACTCTCATAATACCATTCTTACCCACTCACTTTTATGGTCATAACTGTATTTAAAAGTCAACGTGGCTGTCACTGATCCATCTTGGCATTCTGGCTGATCCTCCATATAGTCAATCTTGCTGCTTTAAACTATCAGTTTCTGTAGTGCAAGTATGTCAAGCAATAGGAATGTGGAGTTCAGCATTTCATTGGCTGTCTAAATCAATCATTTTGGAGCATGAATAAGTCATGCTTAAATGGATGGCTTCAGCCTACATTAGGAAGCACTTGTGTGAGGAGAAGGTTGAAAAATAGAATAAATTCAGGTTTAGGGAAGCCACTTTGCATTCTCCTTCAGCCAGTCTCATTTTTTTTCTTCTACCAAAATGATAGATATACAATCGTTTTAATACAAATCCTACTTAAGTCTCCTGAAACAGATTTAATAGAACAGCTTGTGATATTCCAGCAGAGAACTCATTAAGGAAACGCAAGATTCTGAAATCAGAATAATGTTGCTGCCTTTCAGAACACAAGATGATCGATGGGAAGGTCTTGCTGTGCATGTTCACCAGCAGGCTGGTGTATTTCATTCTCTTGATCCTTTAAAGAACAGCTGAAGGATTTTTTTTTCAGCATTAACTTCTCTCTTTCCAGTTCCACCATCAATCTGTAATTTATTTCAGGAAGTGTTTCCGCTGGGCATCTGTCGCTGTGAGTATTTCATTGGTTTCTTTAGACGGTCACACTTTTGTATCTGTCTTATAGCCAGAGTTGAGATTTTGCCAAGGGGGATGGGTTATGTGCTGAGGGATCAACCTACATGTCTTCAGTTGCACATTCTCCAAAGCCTCTGCCATGTTTCATTGCACATAATACAGGAACACTTTACTGCCCCAAAGGAAACCTTAACCATCAGGAACATAGATGAGGAATTAAAATTATGAGAAAAACAAGACTTCTATGCTGTAATATATGTCCTAAACTAATACAGGTAATGTTTACAGATATTTCCAAAATTCTCAATGTTCTCTTCCTCATATAAGTCTAGTTGTATAATTTCCCATTTCATATCATATTAGATACATCAAACTAGACAGCCTGTGAAAGTCAGGAACTGTACAGGAAGAAAAGTTGGAGACATTTAAATTGGAAAAAGTGTAATTACCTAGGAATGGGGGAAAACGAAATAAAGTCCACAAATTACATAATCTCCATATACTAGAATACAGTATAGCAAACAAACTGCATGAGCTAGAGCAGAAATCAGCAAACTTTTGCAGTAAAAGATCAAATAGTAAATATTTCAGGCTACGTGGGCTATACAGTTTCTGTCACAATAACTCAATTCTGCTACTGTAGCACAAAAGAAGTCATAGACAATCCATAAACAAAGCCATGTTTCATGGCTCATATCCCAATAAAACTTTATTTACAAAATCAGGAAGCAATCTCAATTTGGCCTACAGGTTTACTAACCTGCAGTAAGCCTCTGGTTTACTAACCCCTATGAAGAATTAGGAATAAATACAAACAAGTTTCAAAACATAATTGAGGATGAAAAAAGCAAGTTCCAGAATGATATATACAGAGTGATATATTAAAGTATGAAAAGATGAAATACTTTCATATATGATATTTATGGATCCACATACTTACCCTAAAAGCATAAGGGCATGAAAAAGTGATAAACACCATATTCAGAATAGTGATTAAGTCTGGAGGAAAAGCTTATGAAATAGAAGAAAAAAAGGAGGTTCAGTAACTATATCTGTAATGACTTTTTTTTCTTAAACTCCGTGTTGACTGCAAAGCTGTTCATTATATTAATCTCTATACATTTTTATACAACTAAAATATTTTATAATAATAAAAAATGGCATTTTAACTCATGTAACATAACATGCTGGGGCAATTTAATAGGTTTAAAATGAACTATACAACTTAGTATTTCAGAGCTTATCAACATTTTGCTTAAAAAAATGATGCACATATTAATAATTACAAACTCGAGATGAAAATGCAAACATTTAGTTCAGTACAGTCTTTAGTTGTGGAACCCAAAAGTATTTTACACGTATTTCAGAGAGAAAAATATAATGTTAACACATTGAGCTAGAATGTTTTGATGCTTATAGTACTCTGTTATTATAATCTCTTCTGTGAAACATCTCATCTTTGATTTGCTTAATAAAGAGTTTTATTATCTTCCAGTTTTTTAATCCAGTCCATGCTATTTTAAAATATACATATGTTTGTATTCTGATATGCCCTCAAGATTTCAGGGAGTCCTTCCTTGACTACTCTATAAAAGTGACTTCTTCCCTCATTGCCTTATATTAAAGTGGCTATATAAAAAGTAGCATTGTGCAGGCTCACTTACTTAAGTGTCTTCTTTAACAGATGTTTTAAGGTTTTAATCAAAAAAGCTGGTAATTGGTAAGTCAAGGGATTTGTGAAAGCTATTCAGTGTTACTTGCCTCAATAGTATCTTAAATACCATTACCAGGTAACAATCAGTAACCAAGCATTATTAAGGATGATGCGTGGGGAAGAAATATTTTCTAAACATGCAAGTTTAAGAATTGTTCTCGAAGATATAACATTTCTTTCCAGTTACTGGGAACTATAATAACAAACTTACAGAGGTTATGTCCTTATAGGAAAACAATAAACTACTTTCCATATACATATATTTTAACTATAATAATCAAAAAAGTGTAGATAAAAATCTGAATTTCTGAAAAGGCAATTGCCAATGCACGCATATTCCATTATTCTGTCAGTTGAGAATCTAGAAGCAAACAACAACCTAATAGCAATAAGCACACCTAGCACCTAGAGTTTAGTTCTAATTCCATTCTCCAATTTAAAAAAAATAAAAAATTAAAAAAAAATTAAAACTAGAGTTCAATTCCTTAGAGAGATAGCTGAATCTAGAACTGGGGTAGGAAATATAGCAGATAATCTTGAAGCATTTTACAGTGCCAGGAAGAAAGGAAGTAGATGCACAATGCACACACACACCCCACCCACCCACACACAGTTATGGAGGCATGTCGAAGGGACAGAGGAACCAAATGAAATAGCTGTCAAGAGCCAAAGACGGAGCAATTCAAGCGACAAAGTAAGTAAAATAGTATTGGATTGTCCCAACAGAGAAAATAAATATTCAGGGATCTGCATTAATATTAAAATAATTAAGTTAATAAATGGGAGAAAAAGGACAAATTTCCCATGCCAAAGAATTCCAAATAATTTATGTAGATACTCCCCTCTCAATGAGATGGAGCATCACTCCCCACTCTTTAATTCTGGGCTACTTATGATAACTTCATTCCAAAAAATACAAATAGGAAAAAGAGAAGAGTAACCTCATGGTAGAGAAACCTGGCAAACACTCCCTCAATCAGGTAATCAAGGTTAACATTAACCATGATAAGTCGTGTTGATACCATGTACTCAATATGATGTGGTTACAATGGCACTTTAACTTTGTTGTCTTTCTCCCAAGAACACGATCCCCCCTTGTAATCATGAGAAAAACATCCAAGAAATCTAAATTAAATAACATAGCACAAAATAACTGACCAATATTCCTCAAAACTGTCAGTCATCAAAACCTAGGAAAATTCAGAGAAACTGCAAGAGTGAAGATGATCCAAAGGATACATGGGGACTAAATATAACACGACCTTGGATGGGATTCTAGAACAGATCGACGACATTAGGTAGAAACTAAGGAACCCTGAATGGCATATGGCCTTAATGATTTATCAGTAATGACTCCTTAATTTTAACAAATGTGCAATACTAATATAAGACGTTAGAAATAGGAGAAGCTGGGCATGGAGTATACGAGAACTCTCGGAACTATCTTCACAATTTCTTCTATAAATCCAAAACTTCTCTAAAGTAAAAAGTTTATTTTTTAAAAAAGGGAAATTGTGGGAAAAGTTTATTTTTGTGATTTAAACATGAAATATTATTTATTATACATACATAATTTAGCTGTGTTGAAGCAAATCTCCCTATGTATCTTACACTCCTTTAAGTTTACCATAGCATTTATCATCACCTGACATACAGCCTACTTATTGCTGGGGAACAAGAAACATGGAGGCAGGGTTTCTGTGTGTTTTGTTTAGTCCTATATCTCCTTCATTATATCAGTTAGCTATCATTGATTAACAATCCACATCAAAACTTGTTTAAATGGCAGCCATTTTTACTTCTCACGTGTCTATGGGTCAATAGGCAGTTCTGCTGATCTGTGCTAGGTTTGGCTGATCACTGCGGGGTTCATTCATCTATCTTTGGTTAGCTGGCTGCTGAGCTGGAGACTAGCGAGTCTAAGGTGGCCTTAGCTGAAATGATACATTAAGCATTAAAGATTTTTGTATGGATTTGTATTTTTACTTCCTTGGCATCCCCTTAGCCATGCTATCAATGTCTGTCCCATACTCCTGTTAAGTTTGTTTTTTTCTAGTCCTCCTTAACCATTTATTTTCTATGAGAGACATAAGAAAAAAAAGGGAACACTGTGTCTCAGAGCTGTTTCTATATGTTAAGGGCTTATATGTGTGTAGACTTTAAATGTAAATACACAAATAAATATGTGAAAAAAAATTCATCTCACATTAATATAGTTTGGATGTTTTTCCCCTCCAAATCTCATGTTGTGATGTAATCCCCAGTGCTGGAGGTGTGGCCTGGTAGGAGGTGTTTCGGTCATGGGAGTGGATTCCTCATGAATGGCTTGGTGCTTTCCCTGTGGTAATGAGTTCACAAGAGATCTGGTGTTCAAAAGAGCCTGGCACCTCCACCTCTGTTTCTTGCTCCATGTGATATGACAGCTCCCCTTTCTGCCATGATTGTTTCTTGAGGCTTCACCAGAAGCAGATGTTGGCACCATGCTTTGTGTATAGCCTTCAGAACTGTGAGCCAAATAAACCTCTTTTCTTTATAAATTACCCAACTTCAGGTGTTTTTTATAGCAATGCAGACAGACTAATACACGCATTCCCACAGCAGATCAGCCTACATGTGTTCTCATAGTAGTGGCAAGATGTTGAAAAAGGAAACAGAAATGTACAAGCACTTTCTTAAACCTGTACCAACATCAACTTTACAGGTGTTTGATTGGCCAGATCAAGTCACATGGCTGTGGAGTTATAATAAAAGAAAAGAGGTCAGGCTGACAGTAGCAGGGGAAGGCACAAAGAAAAAGCAGATAAGCTATGTCTGTCTGCCTTTCTTCATCGTCCAGGACATGTAGCCCTCCTGCACTCAACTCATCACCAAACACCGGCAAGTTAGCTCACTGCAACCTTGGTGTTATCAGCACTGCACAAAGCCCTCTTCAGCACACAGCCCAAGCACCATTCTGCCTTTCCAGATTAATTTTAGAATAAGTTTGTCCATTCCCAGAAATTTGTTTTGATTGATATTGTATTGAATCTATAGATTTGGGGAAGAACTAATATCTTTACAATATTACAATCTAAGAGCAGAGGTTATGACCTCATTTATTTAATTCCTCTTTAATAAAGTTTTGTAGTTTTCTGTGTAGAGGTTTTTCACAGCTTTCATTCAGTTTTTTCCTAGGAATTTGATGTTTGTTGATGCTGTTATTTGTGAAATCTTACTAAATTTTATTGCCTATTGTTGTCTGCTAGTGTAATATATTTTAAAGTTTATTTATTTTAAAATGTATTCTTATATATTGGCTTTACATCCAGCATACATAAATTCACTTTTTAATTTTAATTGTGCATTCATAGATTATTCCGAATGTTTTAAGTACACAACTATATGACCTGTGACTAATGATACTGTTTTTCCCTTTAAAATACATAGGTATTTGACCAAGGCTCAATTTTGTCTTTTTTTTCCTCTGGCAACAATGGCCTTCTGGTAATCTTTCATTCACTGTCATGATTATTCAATTCATATTTAATCAACAATTCTTGCCAGTTATTCTGAAATGTCTTCTACATGCATTCCTTCCTTTCCATTCCATAGTCGCTGCTACTCTGTTTCTAACCAATGCTTTCATGTATCGGTATAATAGTTTCCTAATCATTCCTTCTACATCATCTCTTCTTTATTTCACTTGTGATTGACTGCTTCATTAAATTATCCTCTAATATATCATACCAACCACTGCTTCTTTGCCCAGTATTTTACTGATTCTTTGCTCAATGAAAAGTCCAGATTTCTCAACCTAGCATTTAAAGCCTTAAAAATGTAATCTAATCCTAAGATTGCAACTCTTTCACCTTTAAATCCTGCATCATGTCAAACTATTTACTTAATTCATATCTTCAAAATCCTGAATTTCCCCTTTTATAAAACATGGCTCTCATTATCTCCCTCTAATTAATATCTATATTTCCTTTTTTCTTACAAAAGCTTTCCCCCTTTTTTAATGCTTATAAAAATTCTTATCCATCCATTTCACATGGAACTTAATTAGGCTCTGCTTTTTAATCTTACTTGATGTTTCTCTTCAACTAATACTGTAGCTTTTATGTCTCTTGCTTTCCCAAAGCCAACTATAAGATCCTTTGACCCAGGATTCAGAAAACACTTAATGCCTACTATGTTTCAGGCACTATGGAGACAAGGTACCTATTTTGATCACAAATACTAACAGTAAGGCAAATAACAAACAAATAAATGTCTAAATGAGACATTTCCAAATTTTGATTAAGACTTCAAGAAAAATAAACAAGAGGATGTGAAACAGAAGAGTGGGAGAAGTGAACTTTGTGGTCATTAAAAAAGGAATCTCTTAGGAGGTAGCATTGGTATATGTGTCAAGAAAAAATGATAAATAAGAGCCAACCATAATATGAGCTGAGGGAGGAGCATTCCAAGCATAAAGAATGGCAATTGCAAAGGCTCTGAGGTAGGAAAGGTTTTGTGTGCTGAATAATCAGAATGGAGAACAGATTGTCTGGAGACTATTGGAGATGGTGAGCCATATGAGATAAAACTGGAGGAGGATACAGGCCTATCAATATGCTTGAAAGAGATTGAAAATGTCTGAAGTTTTCCTAAGAGAAATGAGAAGACAAGAAATTGATATAAAACAAGGGAGTAACATGCTTTCTTCCGCTGTTGTGTATGACCACTGTGGCTGATATGTGAAGAATGGATTTGGGAAGGGTTAGAAGAGAAGCAGGAAGATAAGATTTGAGGCTATTTTCATTTTTCCAGGTGAAAGATAATCCTAGCCGGATTTGGTTGGAGACAGTGAAAATAGAGATGACTGGATGGATTTGAGAAATGGTTTTAAGGTATAAAGAACTGGATACCAGTTGATGAAAGAGTCATTTTTACTGAAATTACAGAAGACTTGGAAAGGGACAAGTTTGTGATGGGATATTGTGGTTCCATTTTTTATAAGACTAAACTATTAAAACTCCCTATTGCTAGTTGACTATAAGTTGACAATAAAAGATTTAAATTATCAGTAATAGAAGATATTTAAGGCTGGGAGACAAGATACCATCTAGGAGACCAAGTAGTTAGAAGAGAAGAGGGACTAGGACTGGCCCTAAAACATTCCAGGTTATAAAGGTCTGATAATTTGAGTATATTCAACCAGCCTTGCATATAAAGAGAACCAAAGACAAAAACCACATTATTATTTCAATAGATGCAGAAAAGACCTTTGACAAAATTCAACAGCCCTTCATGCTAAAAACTCTCAATAAATTAGGTATTGATGGGACGTATCTCAAAATAATAAGAGCTATTTATGACAAACCCACAGCCAATATCATACTGAATGGGCAAAAACTGGAAGCATTCCCTTTGAAAACTGGCACAAGACAGGGATGCCCTCTCTCACCACTCCTATTCAACATAGTGTTGGAGGTTCTGGCCAGGGCAATCAGGCACGAAAAGAAATAAAGGCCCAAGATGGCCGAATAGGAACAGCTCCAGTCTACAGCTCCCAGCGTGAGCAACGCGGAAGACAGGTGATTTCTGCATTTCCATCTGAGGTATCGGGTTCATCTCACTAGGGAGTGCCAGACAGTGGGCGCAGGACAGAGGGTGCAGCGCACTGTGCATGAGCCAAAGCAGGGCGAGGCATTGCCTCACTTGGAAAGTGCAAGGGGTCAGGGAGTTCCCTTTCCTAGTCAAAGAAAGGGGTGACAGACGGCACCTGGAAAATTGGGTCACTCCCACCTTAATACTGCGCTTTTCCGACGGGCTTAAAAAGCGGCACACCAGGAGATTATATCCCACACCTGGCTCGGAGGGTCCTACGCCCACGGAGTCTCACTGATTGCTAGCACAGCAGTCTGAGATCAAACTGCAAGGCAGCAGCGAGGCTGTGGGAGGGGCGCCCGCCATTGCCCAGGCTTGCTTAGGTAAACAAAGCAGCCAGGAAGCTCCAATTGGGTGGAGCGCACCACAGCTCAAGGAGGCCTGCCTGCCTCTGTAGGCTCCACCTATGGGGGCAGGGCCGAGACAAACAAAAAGACAGCAGTAACCTCTGCAGACTTAAGTGTCCCTGTCTGACAGCTTTGAAGAGAGCAGTGGTTCTCCCAGCACGCAGCTGGAGATCTGAGAAGGGGCAGACTGCCTCCTCAAGTGGGTCCCTGACCTCTGACCCCTGAGCAGCCTAACTGGGAGGCAACCCCCAGTAGGAGCAGACTGACACCTCACAAGGCTGGTACTCCTCTGAGACAAAACTTCCAGAGGAACGATCAGACAGCAGCATTCGCGGTTCATGAAAAACCACTGTTCTGAAGACACCACTGCTCATACCCAGGCAATCAGGGTCTGGAGTGGACCTCTAGCAAACTCCAACAGACCTGCAGCTGAGGGTCCTGTCTGTTAGAAGGAAAACTAACAAACAGAAAGGATATCCACACCAAAAACCCATATGTAGATCACCATCATCAAAGACAAAAAGTAGATAAAACCACAAAGATGGGGAAAAAACAGAGCA
Source organism: Homo sapiens (assembly GCF_000001405.40). Lineage (NCBI taxonomy): Eukaryota > Metazoa > Chordata > Mammalia > Primates > Hominidae > Homo > Homo sapiens. The sequence continues at coordinate 145,241,024 of NC_000007.14, read as the reverse complement.
GAAAAACTGGAAACTCTAAAAAGCAGAGCACCTCTCCTCCTCCAAAGGATCGCAGTTCCTCACCAGCAATGGAACAAAGGTGGACAGAGAATGACTTTGACGAGTTGAGAGAAGAAGGCTTCAGACGATCAAACTACGAGCTACAGGAGGAAATTCAAACCAAAGGCAAAGAAGTTAAAAACTTTGAAAAAAATTTAGATGAATGTATAACTAGAATAACCAATAGAGAGAAGTGCTTAAAGGAGCTGATGAAGCTGAAAGCCAAGCCTCGAGAACTATGTGAAGAATGCAGAAGCCTCAGGAGCCAATGCGATCAAGTGGAAGAGAGGGTATCAGTGATGGAAAATGAAATGAATGAAATGAAGCGAGAAAGGAAGTTTAGAGAAAAAAGAATAAAAAGAAACGAACAAAGACTCCAAGAAATATGGGACTATGTGAAAAGACCAAATCTACGTCTGATTGGTGTACCTAAAAGTGATGGGGAGAATGGAACCAAGTTGGAAAACACTCTGCAGGATATTATCCAAGAGAACTTCCCCAATCTAGCAAGGCAGGCCAACATTCAGATTCAGGAAATACAGAGAACGCCACAAAGATACTCCTCGAGAAGAGCAACTCCAAGACACATAATTGTCAGATTCACCAAAGTTAAAATGAAGGAAAAAATGTTAAGAGCAGCCAGAGAGAAAGGTCGGGTTACTCCTCGTCACTTTCAGGTACACCAATCAGACGTAAATTTGGTCTTTTCACATAGTCCCATATTTCTTGGAGGCTTTGTTCATTTCTTTTTATTCTTTTTTCTCTAAACTTCCCTTCTCACTTCATTTCATTCATTTCATCTTCCATCACTGATACCCTTTCTTCCAGTTGATCGCATCAGCTCCTGAGGCTTCTGCATTCTTCACGTAGTTCTCGAGGCTTGGCTTTCAGCTCCATCAGCTCCTTTAAGCACTTCTCTCTATTGGTTATTCTAGCTATACATTCGTCTAAATTTTTTCAAAGTTTTTAACTTCTTTACCTTTGGTTTGAATTTCCTCCTGTAGCTCGTAGTATGATCGTCTGAAGCCTTCTTCTCACAAAGGGAAGCCCATCAGACTAACAGCGGATCTCTCGGCAGAAACTCTACAAGCCAGAAGAGAGTGGGGGCCAATATTCAACATTCTTAAAGAAAAGAATTTCAACCCAGAATTTCATATCCAGCCAAACTAAGCTTCATAAGTGAAGGAGAAATAAAATACTTTACAGACAAGCAAATGCTGAGAGATTTTGTCACCACCAGGCCTGCCCTAAAAGAGCTCCTGAAGGAAGCACTAAACATGGAAAGGAACAACCGGTACCAGCCGCTGCAAAATCATGCCAAAATGTAAAGACCATCGAGACTAGGAAGAAACTGGGTCAAATGACGAGGAAAATAACCAGCTAACATCATAATGACAGGTTCAAATTCACACATAACAATAGTAACTTTAAATGTAAATGGACTAAATGCTCCAATTAAAAGACACAAACTGGCAAATTGGATAAAGGGTCAAGACCCATCAGTTTGTTGTATTCAGGAAACCCATCTTACATGCAGAGACACACATAGGCTCAAAATAAAAGGATGGAGGAAGATCTAGCAAGCAAATGGAAAACAAAAAAAGGCAGGGGTTGCAATCCTACTCTCTGATAAAACAGACTTTAAACCAACAACGATCAAAAGAGACAAAGAAGGCCATTACATAATGGTAAAGGGATCAATTCAACAAGAAGAACTAACTATCCTAAATATATATGCACCCAATACAGGAGCACCCAGATTCATAAAGCAAGTCCTGAGTGACCTACAAAGAGACTTAGACTCCCACACATTAATAATGGGAGACTTTAACACCCCACTGTCAACATTAGACAGATCAACGAGACAGAAAGTCAACAAGGATACCCAGGAATTGAACTCAGCTCTGCACCAAGCAGACCTAATAGACATCTACAGAACTCTCCACCCCAAATCAACAGAATATACATTTTTTTCAGCACCACACCACACCTATTCCAAAATTGACCACATACTTGGAAGTAAAGCTCTCCTCAGCAAATGTAAAAGAACAGAAATTATAACAAACTATCTCTCAGACCACAGTGCAATCAAACCAGAACTCAGGATTAAGAAACTCACTCAAAACTGCTCAACTACATGGAAACTGAACAACCTGCTCCTGAATGACTACTGGGTACATAACGAAATGAAGGCAGAAATAAAGATGTTCTTTGAAACCAACGAGAACAAAGACACAACATACCAGAATCTCTGGGACACATTCAAAGCAGTGTGTAGAGGGAAATTTATAGCACTAAATGCCCACAAGAGAAAGCAGGAAAGATCCAAAATTGACACCCTAACATCACAATTAAAAGAACTAGAAAAGCAAGAGCAAACACATTCAAAAGCTAGCAGAAGGCAAGAAATAACTAAAATCAGAGCAGAACTGAAGGAAATAGAGACACAAAAAACCCTTCAAAAAATTAATGATTCCAGGAGCTGGTTTTTTGAAAAGATCAACAAAATTGATAGACCGCTAGCAAGACCAAAAAAGAAGAAAAGAGAGAAGAATCAAATAGACGCAATAAAAATTGATAAAGGGGATATCACCACCAATCCCACAGAAATACAAACTACCATCAGAGAATACTACAAACGCCTCTATGCAAATAAACTAGCAAATCTAGAAGAAATGGATAAATTCTTCGACACCTACACTCTCCCAAGACTAAACCAGGAAGAAGTTGAATCTCTGAATAGACCAAAAACAGGAGCTGAAATTGTGGCAATAATCAATAGCGTACCAACCAAAAAGAGTCCAGGACCAGATGGATTCACAGCCAAATTCTACCAGAGCTACAAGGAGGAACTGGTACCATTCCTTCTGAAACTATTCCAATCAATAGAAAAAGAGAGAATCCTCCCTAACTCATTTTATGAGGACAGCATCATCCTGATACCAAAGCCGGGCAGAGACACAACCAAAAAAGAGAATTTTAGACCAATATCCTTGATGAACATTGATGCAAAAATCCTCAATAAAATACTGGCAAACCAAATCCAGCAGCACATCAAAAAGCTTATCCACCATGATCAAGTGGGCTTCATCCCTGGGATGCAAGGCTGGTCCACTATACACAAATCAATAAATGTAATCCAGCACATAAACAGAACCAAAGATAAAAAACACATGATTATCTCAATAGATGCAGAAAAGGCATTTGACAAAATTCAACAACCCTTCATGCTAAAAACTCTCAATAAATTAGGTATTGATGGGACGTATCTCAAAATAATAAGCGCTATCTATGACAAACCCACAGCCAATATCATACTGAATGGGCAAAAACTGGAAGCACTCCCTTTGAAAACTGGCACAAGACAGGGATGCCCTCTCTCACCACTCCTATTCAACATAGTGTTGGAAGTTCTAGCCAGGGCAATTCGGCAGGAGAAGGAAATAAAGGGTATTCAATTAGGAAAAGAGGAAGTCAAATTGTCCCTGTTTGCAGACGACATGATTGTATATCTAGAAAACCCCATTGTCTCAGTCCAAAATCTCCATAAGCTGATAAGCAACTTCAGCAAAGTCTCAGGATACAAAATCAATGTGCAAAAATCACAAGCATTCTTATACACCAATAACAGAGAAACAGAGAACCAAATCATGAGTGAACTCCCATTCACAATTGCTTCAAAGAGAATAAAATACCTAGGAATCCACCTTACAAGGGACGTGAAGGACCTCTTCAAGGAGAACTACAAACCACTGCTCAATGAAATTAAAGAGGATACAAACAAATGGAAGAACATTCCATGCTCATGGGTAGGAAGAATCAATATTGTGAAAATGGCCATACTGCCCAAGGTAATTTATAGATTCAATGCCATCCCCATCAAGCTACCAATGACTTTCTTCACAGAATTGGAAAAAACTACTTTAAAGTTCATATGGAACCAAAAAAGAGCCCACATCGCCAAGTCAATCCTAAGCCAAAAGAACAAAGCTGGAGGCATCATGCTACCTGACTTCAAACTATACCACAAGGCTACAGTAACCAAAACAGCATGGTACTGGTACCAAAACAGAGATATAGATCAATGAGATCTATATAGAACAGAGCCCTCAGAAATAACGCCGCATATCCACAACTATCTGATCTTTGACAAACCTGAGAAAAACAAGCAATGGGGAAAGGATTCCTTATTTAATAAATGGTGCTGGGAAAACTGGCTAGCCATATGTAGAAAGCTGAAACTGGATCCCTTCCTTACATCTTATACAAAAATTAATTCAAGATGGATTCAAGACTTAAACGTTAGACCTAAAACCATAAAAACCCTAGAAGAAAACCTAGGCATTACCATTCAGGACATAGGCATGGGCAAGGACTTCATGTCTAAAACACCAAAAGCAATGGCAACAGAAGCCAAAATTGACAAATGGGATCTAATTAAACTAAAGAGGTTCTGCACAGCAAAAGAAACTACCATCAGAGTGAACAGGCAACCCACAAAATGGGAGAAAATTTTCGCAACCTACTCATGTGACAAAGGCCTAATATCCAGAATCTATAATGAACTCAAACAAATTTACAAGAAAAAAACAAACAATCCCATCAAAAAGTGGGCAAAGGACATGAACAGACACTTCTCAAAAGAAGACTTTTACGCAGCCAAAAAAACACATGAAAAAATGCTCACCATCACTGGCCATCAGAGAAATGCAAATCAAAACCACAATGAGATACCATCTCACACCAGTTAGAATGGCAATCATTAAAAAGTCAGGAAACAACAGGTGCTGGAGAGGATGTGTAGACACAGGAACATTTTACACTGTTGGTGGGACTGTAAACTAGTTCAACCATTGTGGAAGTCAGTGTGGCGATTCCTCAGGGATCTAGAATTAGAAATACCATTTGACCCAGCTATCCCATTACTGGGTATATACCCAAAGGACTATAAATCATGCTGCTATAAAGACACACGCACATGTATGTTTATTGCGGCACTATTCACAATAGCAAAGACTTGGAACCAACCCAAATGTCCAACAATGATAGACTGGATTAAGAAAATGTGGCGCATATACACCATGGAATACTATGCAGCCATAAAAAATGATGAGTTCATGTCCTTTGTAGGGACATGGATGAAATTGGAAATCATCATTCACAGTAAACTATCGCAAGAACAAAAAACCAAACACTGCATATTCTCACTCATAGGTGGGAATTGAACAATGAGAACACATGGACACAGGAAGGGGAATATCATACTCTGGGGACTGTTGTGGGGTGGAGAGAGCGGGGAGGGATACCACTGGGAGATATACCTAATGCTAGATGATGAGTTAGTGGGTGCAGCACACCAGCATGGCACATGTATACATATGTAACTAACCCGCACATTGTGCACATGTACCCTAAAACTTAAAGTATAATAAAAAAAAAGAAATAAAGGGTATTCAATTAGGAGAAAAGGAAGTCAAATTGTCCCTCTTTGCAGATGACATGATTGTACATCTAGAAAACCCCATCGTCTCAGCCCAAAATCTCCTTAAGCTGATAAGCAACTTCAGCAAAGTCTCAGGATACAAAATCAATGTGCAAAAATCACAAGCATTCTTATACACCAATAACAGACAAACAGGAGCCAAATCATGAGTGAACTCCCATTCACAAGTGCTTCAAAGAGAATAAAATACCTAGGAATGCAACTTACAAGGGATGTGAAGGACCTCTTCAAGGAAAACTACAAACCACTGCTAAATGAAATAAAAGAGGACACAAACAAATGCAACAACATTCCATGCTCATGGATAGGAAGAATCAATATTGTGAAAATGGCCATACTGCCCAAGGTAATTTATAGATTCAATGCCATCCCCATCAAGCTACCAATGACTTTCTTCACAGAATTGGAAAAAACTACTTTAAAGTTCACATGGAACCAAAAAAGAGCCCGCATTGCCAAGACAATCCTAAGCCAAAAGAACAAAGCTGGAAGCATCACGTTACCTGACTTCAAACTATACTACAAGGCTACAGTAACCAAAACAGCATGGTACTGGTACCAAAACAGAGATATAGATCAATGGAACAGAACAGAGCCCTCAGAAATAACACCACACATCTACAACCATCTGATCTTTGGCAAACCTGACAAAAACAAGAAATGGGGAAAGGATTCCCTATTTAATAAATGGTGCTGGGAAAACTGGCTAGCCATATGTAGAAAGCTGAAACTGGATCCCTTCCTTACACCTTATACAAAAATCAATTCAAGATGGATTAAAGACTTAAATGTTAGACCTAAAACCATAAAACCCCTAGAAGAAAACCTAGGCAATACCATTCAGGACATAGGCATGGGCAAGGACTTCATGTCTAAAACACCAAAAGCAATGGCAACAAAAGCCAAAATTGACAAATGGGATCTAATTAAACTAAAGAGCTTCTGAAAGCAAAAGAAACTATCATCAGAGTGAACAGGCAACCTACAGAATGGAGAAAATTTTTGCAATCCACTCATCTGACAAAGGGCTAATATCCAGAATCTACAAAGAACACAAACAAATTTACAAGAAAAAAAAACAACCCCATCAAAAAGTGGGCAAAGGATATGAACTGACACTTCTCAAAAGACATTTATGCAGCCAACAGACACAGTAAAAAATGCTCATCATCACTGGCCATGAGAGAAATGCAAATCAAAACCTCAATGAGATACCATCTCACACCAGTTAGAATGGCAATCATTAAAATGTCAGGAAACAACAGGTGCTGGAGAGGATGTGGAGACACAGGAATACTTTTACACTGTTGGTGGGACTGTAAACTAGTTCAACCATTGTGGAAGATAGTGTGGCAATTCCTCAAGGATCTAGAACTAGAAATACCATTTGACCCAGCCATCCCATTACTGGGTATATACCCAAAGGATTATAAATCATGCTACTATCAAGACACATGCACACGTATGTTTATTGCAGCACTATTCACAATAGCAAAGACTTGGAACCAACCCAAATGTCCAACAACAATAGACTGGATTAAGAAAATGTGGCACATATACACCATGGAATACTATGCCGCCTTAAAAAAGGATGAGTTCATGTCCTTTGTAGGGACATGGATGAAGCTGGAAACCATCATTGTCAGCAAACTATCACAAGGACAAAAAACCAAACACTGCATGTTCTCACTCATAGGTGGGAATTGAACAATGAGAACGCTTGGACACAGGAAGGGGAACATCACACACTGGGGCCTGTTGTGGGGTGGGGGGATTGGGGAGGGATAGCATTAGGAGATATACCTAATGTAAATGACAAGTTAATGGGCGCAGCACACCAACATGGCACATGTATTCATATGTAACAAACCTGCACGTTGTGCACATGTACTCTAGAACTTAAAGTACAATTAAAAAAAGAGATATCTAAAGGAGGTGATGGGGATAGATGCACTGAATAAAAGCACTGATTTGAAGTGCTTTCCATAAAAAAAAAGACAGAAAATGGCACATATACACCGTGGAATACTATACAGCCACAAAACAGGATGAGTTCATGTCCTTTGCAGGGACACAGATGAAGCTGGAAACCATCATTCTCAGCAAGCTAACACAAGAACAGAAAACCAAACACCACATGTTCTCACTCATAAGTGGGAGTTGAACAATGAGAACACATGGACACAGGGGAACATCACATACCGGGGCCTGTCAGGGGATGGGGGGCTAAGGGATGCATAGCATTAGGAGAAATACTTAACGTAGATGATGGGTTGATGGGTGCAACAAACCACCATGGCACGTGTATACCTATGTTACAAACCTGCACATTCTGCACATGTACCCCAGAACCTAAAGTATAATAATAAACAGTGACTTAAAAGGAAAAAAAGAAAAAAAGAAAAAAGGTCTGATAAGAGAGTTGCCAAGAAACAACACTGAGAAGGATCAGCCAACAAGGCATGAGGGAAGCGAAGTGAGTGCAGTATCACAAAAGCCAGTACGAAGAGTATGGATGTATACGTATGTAAAAAAACCTACACAAATCTACAAATATATCCTGGAACTTAAAGTTTAAAAAATAATAAATAACAAACTAAAAATAAAGAGTGTTGAAAGAAAGAAGAAATAGTGGGCTGGGTTGGATATTCCTGAGAAGCTAATAAAATAAGAAAAGGGTTCCCATAGATTTTGGCAACATGAAAAAAGAGTGATGATTTTATTCAAGTATATTTGAATCATTGGGATGGAAGTCAAATTGGATGGACTTAAGAGATGTGAGAAGTGGAAGGCAGTGAAGACAGAACACAGTTTTAAGAGATTTTTCAATTAAAAAATGGAAAAATATGTGGTGTTAGCTGAAGGGTTATGTGGAGTCAAAGGACATTTGAGGTTTTGTTTTTCCTTTGGAGTGGTTTTTATTTATTTTAAGATGGATGGTTTGAGAGCGCTTGTGTATGCTGATAGGCATGAAATGGTTGAGCAGGCAGGACTCATGATATATGAGAGAGAACCCATGAGTGAAAAAGTGATGTTTTAAAATACTGCTGAACTGATCTGACCCTGTGACTTCAGGCTCATAAATAGAGCACACTCCTTACTGTCCATATCAGCAAAGAACTGGGTCAGCACAGATTGATAAAACTTGGCATAGCACCAATCCCCATGCTGACCATGAATCTCAGTCTTCTCACTTTTCCGTCACCTAATAATTTATTTTACATCCAGAGCTGTTAAAAAGTTATAAAATATATGTCATATCATCCTACCTACAGTTCCCTTATGAAATCAAACTGTCTTTAAAAAGAAAATGGCCAAAATTACATAATGAAAAGAATGAAGAAACAACAAATATTGTCAATCCACAGGTTTACAAACCAGTTTATGAGAAATATTCAAAAGTTTATTATACACAAAGTTTTTAATAAGATGGCAGTTTGCTGAAGTATCAATTAAGCACCACTGGTGGTGAACTAGGTGATTTCACAAGTGATATACTAAGGGATGGAGAGGAAGGGAGCCTCAGCTGGAAGGATGGGGCCATACTGGTGGAAAAGTCAGGGAGGGGAACAATGGATAGGAAGGGAACAAATGCAAGAGGAAGAAAGTCCAGAGACTGCTGAAGTATTTTCTGATTTATTCTGCCTGATCCAGCAGTGCACGCAAGCAAACAAACACACACACATACATGAACTTGTGACAGCGTCCTGCCTGCCACCCTGCTTTAGAGCTTTCAGAGCAGGCCTGGGCCAGCCGAGATTAGATGGCCAAAGAGCAGCAGAGCAGCACCAGTCTAAGCAAGGTCAGCTCCTGGCAGCCAATGCTGGAACCCAGATCAAGTATTTTCAGAAGGCAAGGGTCAAGTCCTTGTATCCCCTTTACCTTTCTCAGAGGTAGATGAGTTGAGCTATTACAAGAGAGGCTTGAGATCTATTATCATTGGGCTCTAGTCTTGGCTTTGAGACTCACAAGCTATATTAGGCTGCATGTATCATGTCCCCTAGCTGAGAATCAGTGAAATGGTATGAATAAGAGAACTAACCAATGAGGTCATGAGTGTAGCACCTGGCTCATTTTTTAAAAAACAGAACCCTGGGAGTAAATCTTTCCCTTCATTCATTCAATTCTCCAATCAACAAATATAATTGTTTGAATTACCTGGTTATTAACTTATCAAAAATTGTTTCAAATATCCAGAACATTGTGAATTTGGTGCTGACAAGACTGGGAATTATTAAATAGCCACATGTTCTGAAGAACAGACCCAGAATCTTTTTCAGATGACCTCCTGAAATAAAAATGTGTTGAAAAAAACCACTTTTAGAGAGCCAAGAAAAAGTACACACCTAGATCCATCTGATCTTCAACATGGTCAACGAAACAGGCATTGGGAAAAGGATTTCCCATCTAATAAGTGGTGATGGGATAACTGGCTAGCTATATGCAACAGATAAAACTGGACCCGTTCCTTATACCATATACAAAAATAAACTCAAGATGGATTAAAGACTTAAATATAAAACCTAAAATTATAGAAACACAGGAAGATAAACTAGGAAATACAACTCTGGTCATATGACCTGGCAAAGATTTCATGACAAAGATGACAAAACAACTGCAACAAAAGCAAAAACTGACAAATTGGATCTAATTAAACCAAAGAGCTTCTGCACAGCAAAAGAAACTATCAACAGAATAAATAGACACAAAATGGGAGAAAATATTTGCAAACTATGCACCTGACAAAGGTCTAATATCCAGAATCTATATGGAACTTAAACAAATTAGCAAGCAATAAACAAACAACCCCATTAAAAAGTTGGAAAAGAACATGAATAGACACTTTTCAAGAGAAGACATACAAGTGGCCAACAAGCATATGAAAAAATGCTCAATATCACTAATCATTAGAGAAATGGAAACCAAAGCCACAATGAGATACAATCTCATACCAGTGAGAATGGCTATTATTAAAAAGTCAAAAAATAACAGATTCTGATTAGGTTGCAGAGAAAAGTGAAGGATTATACACTGATCATGGGAATGTAAATTAGTTCAGCCATTATGGAGAGTAGTTTAGTGATTTCTAAAAGAACTTAAAACAGAATTATCAGTCAACCCAGCAATTCCATTATTGGATATATACCCAAAGGAATGTAAATCATACTACCATAAAGACACAAGCATGTGTATGTTTATGACGGCACTACTCACAATAGCAAAGACATGGATTCAACCATGATGCCAATCAACAGTAGACTGGGTAAATAAAATGTGGTACATATTTACCATGGAATACTGTGCAGTCTTAAAAAAGAATGAGATCATGTCCTTTGCAACAACATTGATAGAGCTGGAGGTCATTATCCTAAGTAAACTAACACAGGAACAGAAAAGCAAATACTGCATGTTTTCACTTATAAGTCGGAAAAAAACATTGAGTACGTATGGTCACAAGAAGGGAACAATGGTCACTGAGGCCTACTTGAGGATAAAAGGTAAGGATAAAAGAACTACCTATTGGGTACTCTGCTTGTTACCAGCATGATTAAATAATCTGTACACCAAACCCCCAAGACATGCAATTTACCTACACAACAAACTTGCACAGGGAAGCCCCGAAACTAAAAGTTTAAAAGTGTTAAAAATAAAAAATTTTAAAAATACTTATAATTAAGAATTAACTTTTAATATCCAACTCTATTGGAGTTATGTTTAAAATACACGTTATATTTCCCTGCTAAATGGATATGCTGATTGGCATTAAAAATTTAAAAACACCTTAGGCCGTGCACGGTGGCTCACGCCTGTAATCCCAGCACTTTGGGAGGCCCAGGTGAGCGGATCATGAGATCAGGAGTTTGAGACCAGCCTGACCAACATGGTGAAACCCCGTTTCTACTAAAAATACAAAAAATAGCCCAGCGTGGTGGCACGTGCCTTTAATCCCAGCTAGTCAGGAGGCGGAGACAGGAGAAACATTTGGACCTGGGAGGAGGAAGTTGCAGTGAGCTGAGATCGCACCACTACACTCCAGCCTGGGTGACAGCATGAGAATCCATCTTTAAAAAAAAAAAAATTAAAACACCTTTGCATAATTAACTTTAAACCCCATTTTCATCTTGAAATAAGTGAAAGTGTACTGTATAATTATTAATGACTAACAAACTCTATTTTTCTGCACCATCTTCACTGAAGAATTAATTTTTAGCTCTGAAATTTTGTAAATTAATTACATGTATTATGTTGTTTTAATGTTTTTCAGTTTTTAAAAGTCAATAGCATGCTTGGTTATACATATTTATATTTCATTATGCATGTAAAACCTGTTTTGGTTACATATGTATTTTTATGTCTACCATGCACACATGTATATGTGTGTGTATATATATATATATACACATGTATATATGATAAACATAAAATGCATATGTATTTTACATATAATACATATATCTATATGTCTCAAGCATTATCAAAGGAAATATAAAGTTTATATATGTTTATTAAAGAAAATATAAAGTTTTCAGTTTTTAAAAATTAATAGCATGCTTAGTTATACATGTTTATATTTCATTACATATGTAAAACCTCTTTTGGTTACATATATATATTTTGTTTTTACCATATATACATGTATGTGTGTATACATGTATGTGGGTATACATGTATATATGGTAAACATAAAAATACATATGGATTTTATATAAAATACATATATAGTCCCAAGTAAATATTTTTATTAAAGGAAATATAAAGCTTACTATTAAAATAAGCTGGAAAAAGAGTCAGAGTCTTTTAAAAAATTATTAACAAACAAAAATTAGTAACAAATGAAACTATGATAGATCTCATGAAGGTAATTCCAGTGAAAACAAATAAAACTGAAGTTTGAGAAATGCTGACCTGCATAAAGAAAAGAAAAAAGGTGACAATCCTTTATCAAAGACATGTCTTTCTCCATACATCAATAATTAAAGAGGATTAAATTTATTTTTCACAATCATTCTGGAGTTAGAGCCATTTTCATAAACTTCTCACAGTTTTTGAATGACCACGAAAAAAATTATAAAGCAGCTGTAAGGTAACGGTACTTAATTATGATTGATTCCTAACTATCATCAGGGTGATTTTTAAAATGTTAAATCATGCTGCCATACAATATTTGCGTAGTAGATATGTCTATAATAAACCCTTCTAGACATTGGCTTAGGCATGGATGTCATGAGCAAGAACCCAAAAGCAAATGCAATAAAAACAAAGATAAGTAACTGGGACCTAATTAAACTAAAGAGCTTTTGCATGGCAAAAGGAACAGTCAGCAGAGTAAACAGATAATGCAGAGTGGGAGAAAATCTTCACAATCTACACATCTGACAAAGGATTAATATCCAGAATCTACAACGAATTCAAACAAACCAGTAAGAAAAAAAGAAACAATCCCATCAAAAAGTGGGCTAAGGACATGAATAGACAATTATCACAAGAAGATATATAAATGGCCAACAAACACGAAAAATGCTCAACATCATTAATGATCAGGGAAATGCAAATCAAAACCACAATATGACACCACCTTACTCCTGCAAGAATGGCCATAATCAAAAAATCAAAGAACGGTAAATGTTGACATGGATGCAGTGATTAGGGAACACTTCTACACTGCTGATGGGAATGTAAACTAGTAGAGCCACTTTGGAAAACAGTGTGGGTATTCCTTAAAGAACTAAAAGTAGAATTACTATTTGATCCAGCAATCCCACTACTGGGTATCTACCCAGAGGAAAAGATATTTATACACACTTTTACAGCAACACAATTCACAATTGCAAAATCATGGAATTTTGCAGTTCCACGATTGCAATATATATGATGGAATACTACTCAGCCCACAAAAAGGAATGAATTACACAGTATTTGCAGTGATCTGGATGAGACTGGAGATGATTATTATTATTATTATTATTTGTGAGACGGAGTTTCACTTTTGTTGCCCAGACTGGCCAGCTGGCGTGCATTGACGCAATCTTGGCTCACTGCAACCTCCACCTCCCGGATTCAAGCAATTCTCCTGCCTCAGCCTCCCGGGTAGCTGGGACTACAGACGCATGCCACCACACCCAGCTAATTTTTATATTTTTCTTTTAGTAGAGACGGGGTTTCACCATGTTGGCCAGGATGGTCTCGATCTCTTGACGTTGTGATTCGCCTGCCTCGGCCTCCCAAAGTGCTGGGATTACAGGCGCGAACCATCATGCCTGGCCCTGGAGATTATTATTCTAAGTGAAGTAACTCAGGAATGGAAAACCAAACATCACATGTTCTCATTGATATGTGAGAGCTATGAGGACACAAAGTTGTAAGAATGATACAATGGACTCTGGGGACTTAGGGGGGAAAAGTGAGAAGGGGACGAGGGATAAAATACTATAAATATGGTGGAGTGTATGCTGCTCGGGTGATGGGTGAACCAATATCTCACAAATCATCACTAAAGAACTTACTTATGTAATCAAATACCACCTGTTTCCCAATAACTTATGGAAAAATAAATTTAAAATAAATATAAATAAATAAATGAAAAGAAAAAGCCATCCATATTACCACTGCCCAAGTACAAGGCTTTGGACAAAAATGCTCATAAAATGCTTTCCCATAGTGATCAGTTACCCTGAGGTTGCAGGTTGCATTCCAATGAAATAGGCATTCTAATGAAAATGGTGACACCTGCATATGATTATAGCAAATCAAGGTCAGAGTGCAGACCAGAGAGGGCAGTACTTCAAAAGTTGACTGAATTTTGTCTTAGGAAGGTAACTTTTGCCTTCTCTCTAAAAATTTCTTATAGTCAGAGGCTTGCAGGCTCAGAGACTTCAGAACTGAAAGTTACAAACTCTTTTAATTACTCTTGTTATTGACTTAACTGCAAGTTCAAGAAAGATGATTAACATAGATTGTACTACTCTAAAAATATTATCAGTAATTTCACCAAAATTATTTATTTTCTTGTGTCTGCTTGTTACTTAACATAGAGGATGAAAGAGGAAGAATTAGATCTGTTATACATGATTTAAATTCAGACACTTGAACGCTGAAGAGGATCTACATCAAAGATCATATAACACAACCATTGTTTGTATAAATAAAGAAATTGAGTTCTTAAAGTTTAAGTGGCTTGTGCATCCGTGCACACACACACACTTGCACACACACATAAATTGAAAATGATAAAGATTTCATAAGTTTTTGAGAGAGAAAAAGCTCTTCTAACTTGAGGATTGTCCAAATCTATGTTATTAGTGGAAGTCTTTTCTTTCAAACTAAAGCAACATAGGTCCCCATATTTTTTATCTGCATTTTCTGCATTTAATCTGCATTTTTCTGCCCCAAAATATGTCTCTCTAAGAAATACAGTTTTCCTAAAAACCTCTTAGGAAGAGCAGCAGGAATAATGGTGAAATTTCAGAACAGGTATTGGAGATTCTCAGACCCTCTGCTCAATTTACCAGCCCTCTTTTGGGTGCCTTTGAGGCCAGGTTGTTTTGGTCTCTATTACAGCTAAGAGAATAACTCTATTACAGTTAAGAGAATAACTCTCCACTTCCTGCAGAGGCTCATGCAGCCATCTCACATGCAATATAGTTGATTTTATTTCTTAAAAATAATACATACCCACAGAATTATTGTTCTAATCATAAGGTAATAATTTCATGGTTACTAGAATATCTGGAAACCTAGAAAAGAACAGGAGAGATAATGAGAGTCAATCATAATCCTTCCGTAGTGGGAAATTAATTACTTTCTCAAAATCCATTACTACTTCCTAATAACTGCCAGGTTTATTTTTGAATCCATATGTTTCTGGGAAAACAGATGTTCCTTCAAGACCCAAAGGGGTGCCCAATAGGTGTAAATCCCATGTCTGTGGTCACAGTGATGACTTAGGAGTAAAACTGGGTCTCCTAAGTTAACATGTGTTTTTCTTATCAAGAGTGTCGTCACATTACTGTACTATTTATCAATCTGTTTTTTATTTTGTTTATAGCATTTTAACAAATAATTTTTGAAAATTTTTATATATGCAAAGATACTATACGTTTTCCTTTAGAATTTAACCATTTCCTTTATGCTTAGAAGTCAATTTCTTTTTAGAAATGAGCCCTATCCACCTATATTTTTGTCTAGGTTTTATGGCGCCACAGTTTGCAAGAAAAGTTTTAACACTAGTTCTAAAAGCAGCTGACAAACTGTAAGAAGTGCTTCCTACCCATAGAAATCCTAAAGTTATTTTTTTCTGCATGTTATATTAACTCCCAATTTATTTAGCATTTATTTAAAATACATTCATTAAGTTCCTACAATGTGTTAAATACTGGTAGATAGAAAGAGAGTTTCTATTAGAACGGCGTCAGGATGATAACAGAATGCCACAAAAAAAGAATGTGGAGAATTGTGGGAGAGAATTTCTCCCTTTGCCCCCTGCTTGGAGGTACTTGGCAGGACAGCGGGAAGGAGTAAGTGTTGAGCAGCGGGTAGAGAGAAGTGCAATGGAGGAGAAGCCAAACAATAATGGCTTCAGCAGAAGCATAAAGGGGAAAGAGTGAAGGGGAAATGATTCACATCTGCTGGAACTTAGGACACATGAAGAAAATCATTAAAAATAAGACTAGAGAGCTGGAAATTACACAACATAAAGGTCTCAGAAGGCAAAGGGAATGCATACACTTTACAGCAGAATGATCTCCCCTAAAGGGTTTTTGAAGGAAATTGGAAAGAGTTATGTTTTAGAAACGGTATCATTAAATTGTGATTTGTTTTAAAAAAGACTGAACAATTACATATTTCTAAATTGTAGTACCAAAATAGGTACTCTGACATCTTTTAATACTGTCACATATCATCTCCTGTGATAGCAGATAAGTTGAACTACATCTACAATTTTCTAATGTCAAAAGTAAAAAAGTTCAATCATCAATTTATAGGAAAATAATTACATTGTCCTTTCTCCTCATTATCAGAATACGAAAGAGCCATAAAAACTATCCCTTTTATCCCCACTAACTCACTGTTAGAAGCCCAGAAGCAGAAAAAAAGTCCCCTAAAATTCTGAGGAATTAGTCAAATATAAGCAAGAAGCAAGAAGAGTAGGTGGAAATGGTTTTCTTCTCTATCTAGGTCCCTAGAGATTCCTAAATATTATATTTAATTGTTGATATAAACACTACTCTCCTTTACATTTTTAAATACTTCTCAGGCTCATAATTTTATTTTTGGAGAGACTAATAGTCACATTTTCAGTCACTATGGATGTCTAATTTCTATTCACACATTGGACTTTTTGCTACTATGAAGTTAAATTTAATCTTAAAGTGATTTTTTTCCTGCTGCATTAATTCTCTCTACCACACACAGCATAGTTCAAATCGTGTTGCTCTTCATAGTCTCTCCTGGGGACAAAGTGAACTTCATAGAGCCAGTTTATGGTCCCCTACAGCAATTTTATGAGCCTCAAAGTATGGAGCCATCCCTGTATGATTTTTATATACCTAAGAGAATCAGATTCAGAAGTAATAGGATTTATCTTTGTATTATTTTCCAAGAAATGTTGATATTCCTTCTGCCATACCAGCTCATAATGCCTGGAGATAATTTACCTTAAAAATATTAAATATTGAAAATAAAATCATTTTACATTAATCATGGTCAGATTGAGCAAGATACCCAGGCATAACTAAGGTCTTTATTTGAACTAAATCCTATTATAGAGTTCTATTGTAAATGTGACCCCTAGCTTTTTATGACCAGGCTATAGTTTGAATGAAAAATCTCCTCATTTAAACATAGTTCCAGGAAATGTTTTCCTTGACTTTTATACAAGGGAGTGTTTTACTGCAGCTGCTAGTGGATAAAGTACAAATTTTCAAATCAATGTGTTCAGTGCTTTTGAAGAACTAATTCATTTTTCATAAAGCTAAAATCATACAAATTTATACTCAAGCGTTAAATTCCTGGAAATATCTATTCCAGGATATGTATCTAACTCAGGAAATTAGTAGTTAGTTCTAATTCAATCATTTAAACATTCTGGTTATGCTCTTATAACAACAAAGACAAAACTGTTCATAAATGGTAATTGTTAAAATATTTTATTAACAAGTATAGTTCAAACTTCATGTCATGATAGAATACAAAATATGTGTAGACAGTGTTTTATTAGGCATTAGTGTAAAATTCAACTTAAGCAAAAGTTTTTATAAAAAGAACCATATTGTACCTAAAGGAACATTTATAAAATAAACTGCATTAAAAAGCAATTCAAGGGTAAACTTCAGAAGAACAAGATGCATCTATTGAAATAAACTATGTACATAATATTCAAGCAACTGATTTGATTATCTGAGTTATGGATTAATACAAAAATGTAAATTAGAAATAAGTGCAAGGGATTGGAAAAAGAATATGGTTGTATGTGTACTTACTGACCAGTGATGATAAAAGCCAGTGAGTGAGAAGCTATCTGGTGCAAGGTCAGAAAATGAAAAGTTGACCAACCCCAGAAGTTTAAAAACACACCTTAAAAGGATCTTGCCATTTAAAGCAAAAATAATAGTAATGAATAGTGGTCATTTTAGCATATTTATGAATAAAATATCTGACAGCAATAGCATAAAATGAGAGCAGGTATGAAAGTATATTTTGCACAAATTTCTTAGCTATTGTGCAGTGATACAATATTACTTGGAGACAGACTTATAAAAGATGTACATTAAAACCCTTAAAGAAATCACTGTAATAAAAACAATGAGGTATTGATAGTAAGACACCACAAAGTGAAGAAAAATGGTATCATTAAAAAAACACTTAATGCACCAGAGAACGAGAAAAGTTTTAACAAAGAGGATATGAGACATATACAAAGCCAATAATAAGCTAGTATATTCAAGTCAAACTATATTATTACATTAAATATAAATGGTCTAAATGCTGAATTTGAAAAATCAAAAATTGGCAGTTTCAATTTAAAAGATTTCAATATTCCTCCCAGTGATTGATAGAAAAAAGTAAACAAAAGATAGAAAAATTTATAGCTAAAAGTAGAGAAAAGCAGAAGCAGGAGGTTCATTTAAGGTCAAGAATTCAAGACCAGTTCTGGCAATACAGACCCTGTTTCTGCAATACAAAAAAGAATAAGAAATAATAATAATAAATTTTAAAAATTAAGTTAAAAAATTATCTAGACGTGGTGGTGATTGCCTGTAGTCTTGGCTACTCAGGAGGCTGAGGTGAGAGAATCACTTGAGCTACACTGCAGTCTGGGAGGCAGAGTGAGACCCTGTCTCAAAAGGGAAAAAAACAAAGCAGTCTTCATAAATTTAGGAAGACTGAAAACATACAGCATGTTTTCTCATCACAATGAAATTAAACTAGAAATCAATGACAGAAACATATAGGTAAAATCCCCAAAAATGGAAAACAACAAAATTCTAGCTTACACATGTCATAGAAGAAGTGCAAGGCAATTAGAAAGATATTGAGCTGAAACAAAATTAAATCACAATATATTAAAATTTGTTGGATGTAACTAAAGCAGTGTTTACAGGGAAAATATTAGCAATACATATTTACAGTAAAAATAACAATGATTTCAAATCAACAAACTAAGCTTGCACCCGAAGAAACTAAGAAAACAAGAGCATATTAAACACAAAGCAAGTAGAAAAAAAAACATGTCGGCCGGGCACGGTGGCTCACGCCTGTAATCCCAGCACTTTGGGAGGCTGAGGTGGGGGGATCACGAGGTCAGGAGATCGAGACCATCCTGGCTAACACTGTGAAACCCCGTCTCTACTAAAAATACAAAAAATTAGCCGGGTGTGGTGGTGGGCACCTGTAATCCCAGCTATTCGGGAGGCTGAGGCAGGAGAATGGCGTAAACCCGGGAGGCAGAGCTTGCAGTGAGCCGAGATCGTGCCACGTGAGTTCTTTGTGAAAATGATTGTAAAAATTGATAAAATACTAGGGAGACTTATCTGAAAAAAAGAATTTACAGAGCTATTCTGGTATCACAAATGAAGGAAGGGACATCACTTCAGATTGCATAGACATTAAAAAGATAATAAACATCATGAACAACTTTATCCCAATAAACTTGAAAATTTAGATGAAATTAATAAATTACTTGAAAGACACAAACTAGCAGAGCTCACTCAAGGTGAAGTAGATAACTTGGGTATCTCAACACTTATTATTTTAAATAAATTTGTTGTTAATCTTCCCACAAAGAAAATTCTAGGCCCAAAGGGCTTCAGAGTTGAATTCTACCAAACACTTATGGAAGAAATAATCCCAATTCTACATAAACTTATCTGGGAACTAGAAAAGGAGGAAACTGTTTATTTTTACAAGGAGAGCATTATCCTGATATTTAAACCAGAGGAAAAAAAAAAGACCAAAGAGTATTCTTCATAATGAAAATAATCACAAAAATCCTCAACAAAATATTGGCAATTCAGAAATATTTTTAGAAAACAATGCATCATTACTGATTTCATTACTGAATGCAAAGTTGGTTCAACAATTAAAAATCACTATAATTCATCAAATTATGTTAAAATTTAAAATTAATTACTGATATTAATAGATGAAGAAAAATCACAGGACAAAATTCTACAGTCATCATGATAAAAATTCTATGTAACTGAAAGAAACTTCCCCGAAGTGAAAAAGTAGCTCTACAGAAAGCCTACAACTAACATCATTTCTGTCCTAGTAAAAGAGTGAATGCTTTCTGCTTAGAAACAGGAGCAAAACAAGGGTGCCTGCTCTTACCCTTCCTATGCAGCATAGTACTAGAGGGTCTAGCTATATGACTGCATACATTTGTCAGATCTCACCTACTGTAAAATTAAAATTGGTAAGTTTATTATATATATATATGTCCCCCAATTAAGCAGATTAAATATAAATGAATAAATAAACAGATATACTGGCAATTAGTTAAGTGCAATTTGAATAGAAATCTATAATCCAGGATGACAAGTATATGATTAAAGAAAAAAAAGGGGGGCAAGTTTTAGTTTAAATGTCATCATTGCAAAAAAAAAAAAAAGATAAATTCTAACATAAATAACAAAATAGCATAGAGGCATAATTTAGTAGTCATAGAGATGTCCAATTGTACAAGTCAGAGAACTCTCTGAGCGACTGAAGATAGATTTTCAGACTCCTGGGTTTGAAAACCAGGCTGTGGACCAACACACTGCGTTAGATTTGAGTACTAGTATGCTTACTTTAGCATCCTGGTCAAAGTGTTGTTTCTTGTTTTCTGCCCATGGATTTAACCATGAGCTTGAAATTGAATACTAGTCTCCTTTGAATTGTGCATATTATGTTATGCTTTGAGAGGAATCTGACTTTATCTGGGAAACTTTCTTAGCCCAGTCAAGTTGACTCACAAAATTATTCATCATAGCTAGTATCTGAAACGTGAGGCAACGTTTTACAAATGAGCTCTGTGTTTTCATTTTCTATTCTATTAAATTTTTCACCCCTGGAACAGGCCCTTGTATTAGGCTGCTTTTGCATCGCTACAGATGAATATCTCAGATTGGGTAATTTACAAGGAAAAGCAGTTTAATTGGCTTACAGTTCTGCAGGCTATACGGGAAGCGTGGTGCCAGCATCTGCTTCTGGTGAGAGCCTCAGGGAGCTTACGATGACAGCAGAAGGCAAAGAGGAGCAGACACGTCACATGGCAAGAAAAGGAGCAGCAGAGAGAAGGGGGAGGTTCCAGACAGCTGAAACAATCAGATCTCCCATGAACTGAGCAAGAACTCACTCATCACCAAAGGGATGGTGCCAAGCCATTTGTGAGGGATCTGCCAACCAACATGATGTAATCACCTCCTACCAAGTCCCACCTCCAACATTAGGAAACACATTTTAACTGGGATTTAGACAGAATAAACATTCAAAACATACCAGCCATGAAGAACAGGCCTCTTCAGAAACTGTGTTTTGTTGTTTTCATTGTGTGTCGTCTCAATAACTCATTCGGGAATGGCAATGAAAAATCCCAACTTCAGAAATAACACTGATAAGGCTTATGTATTGTCATGGTGAGGATAGACCTCTAATGTATTCTTTCTTAATACATACAAGCGTGTGTGTACATATGCACATAAGCATAGACACAACCATATTTCACTGAAAATTTCTCATTTGGCAAGCTGCAATGTAATTCAATTCTATATTTCTAAAATCAGTTATTAAAAGTATACATTTATATATAAGCTTCATGTGCTTGGCTGAAGACCTCACATTGTTTCTAAAATTATAGGTAGAAAGTAATTTATAGGTTTATTATTCTCTTGTTTTCATACTAGTATATATCCAATGTGACATATGAACAGGCAGTACTAATCAAAAATTAAATGAAGACTACAAGGTCACATAGAAATTGCTGAAATCAGTGGGGAAATACCTTAATCTGTAGACAGCATCAATTACCATTGTTATGAGACTACATTTTGGCAACTATTGAAACACTATTAAGCATCTCTGGGTCTCTTGATAGTCTGTTTAAGGTAAACCATTGCTGTTCACTGTTCCATCATTTTTAATGAAAGAAACTCTTAGGCCTCAGAAATAAGAAACGTGGCCGGGCACAGTGGCTCACACCTGTAATCCCAGCACTTTGGGAGGCCAAAGTGGGTGAATCACCTGAGGTCGGGAGTTTGAGACCAGCCTGACCAACATGGAGAAACCCCATCTCTACTAAAAATACAAAATTAGCCGGCCGAGGTGGCGCATGCCTGTAATCCCAGCTACTTGGGAGGCTGAGGCAGGAGAATCGCTTGAACCGAGGAGGCAGAGGCTGCGGTGAGATGAGATCATGCCATTGCACTCCAGCCTGGGCATTAAGAGTGAAACTCCAACTCAAAAAAAAAAAAAAGAAAGAAGTAAGAAACATGAATGGGTGCAGGCACCTGACTTGAGAATTGATAAGAAGGGAAAAGAGGAAGAGACCAAAAGGGATGTCTCCATTCCTAGACCCAGCTATGGCTCCTGCTCATTGGATGCTGCAGGCTCAGAGGTGAGAGAGGAGAGCAGAGGGGCTGTAGGAGTCAGCAGTTTAATCTGGCTCAGAGATAGTAGAGGGGGAGTAAACCACACAAAATCACACAAAAGCGCTGGAGCATCTCTTTCTCCCACTCCTTCCTGCGCTCCCCACATTCAGGGCACACTCATCTGAGTCGCTGGTCCCCCACAGCCCCGTTTCTGAATATCCCTCCTCTCATCCTGGTAGATGTTCATGGTAATGAGGAATAAAGCTTTGCAGCAGAAGTTGTCATGGGGCAGACCTCCAAAGGGAAAAAGGAAGAGAATTAGCTTAGCTAACAGGGAAGTGTAATCTCTACTTGGAAATAAGTCCAATTCACTGGTCCAAAGAGGAAAGTCAAATGGGAGCAAAACCAAGGGAAAGCGAGGATGGAGATGCCTGTTTACCTCTCCTATGTAACGTGTTTTCTAAGTAAACACAACCACATTTTTCTTCGAAATCGTATTACTATAAGAAACTATGCTAATGTAAACTATATACACATATATGTGTATATACACACTACTAGTTGATTTTTTATACCCTTCTAATGTAGTCACAAATATCAGTCATGAAAGTAGTGACACCTGAAAGATGCTCCAATTACATTTCAAAAGGATATACATTATCAGAATGATTTAAAAAAAAAAAAAAAACAGAAACAGTGCTGGTCAAAATATCTCCATTTTCTCACATTAATCCTGAATACATATGCAGTACTTTCATAGGACAAGCTGGGGAAATCAATAGTGTAAATGAAATATCATTGGTGTCCTTTTCTCATCTCAGCTGTGGCATAAGTGAAGAGTGGCAATGTCCCAATAAATAACGCTGAACTTCAGTCTCTTTTATGCTCGTTCCAAACAGATGAGCAATTTCTGAAAAGCTACTGTAGAAGATGCACTTTTACCTCTTCATCAAAAACATATAAAAATGAAATATATTGTGATATTTATTACCCTGTGTATTACAGACCACTATGGTGATCCAGTACAAATGGCTTTTTTTCTCTGTGGCGCCGACCTTCAAAAGTGATGATGTGAAAAGCCTAGACTTTATGACAGCTTAACTAGAAATACATTACAGCTGCTATATTAATATGTACCTGTGGCTTTGCTATACAGTTTGAATATGAAAAGAAACTCTGAAACCGTGCTCTGCTATAAACTTTAAATATGCAGAAAAATATGTTCATGAAAGCAGCAGGAGGTTGAGATAATGTTTATGTGAAATGATGCTCCCTTTCTTCTCAGCCTCAAAACCTCATGGTCGGTTTTACATTACATAAATTTAATGTCAGCAACCGAATGACTCATATCAACCTTAGCACAGAAAATTAGAGAAGCTAGCCAGAAGCGTGCAATTATACATATTCACATTATGTGTGACTGAAATACCTTCAGGTTTCTGTGCATGGTGACATGTGAATCCCTGGGTACAGAGGAACTTAAGCTCCATGTTAAATCAATAAATATATTTCAGTGATCAATTGCTGAGAAGTGAAAAATTGATGGGCACTGAAATATTACTTTGAAACTATCAAATGCATTCCTCCTCTGTAGTTTCAAAATATTTTCATATGCATAACTATTGTGGTGCTACATTATGAGTAACTTACGTAATACCTATAATGACTTTGGTCAATGTTTTGGTTTTAAGTAGTTACAATTTGTCCTGACATGTAAATGATGCCATGGTGCATACCTAAATGATTTTTACGGGATCTCAAATTAATTCACAAACACTCCTAAAGAGGAACGTTATTCTTTTCAGACGATGAAGGAGAGCATGAGTTGCACTGCAACAGGCATGCTCAAACAGACACACATCTGAGGAATTAACATCTATATTCATTTTAGCAGCAGAATGGGTTTTTGTAAATTATCTAAATAATAAAAATAAGAAGGATACAAGTAAGCCTAATTTTTATATTAGTAAATATTTTCTGAATGTTGATTTTGTATACAATCAGCATTTGGTGTATTAAATTAAGGCAGAAATAAATAAGTACTTTGAAACCAATGAGAACAAAGACACAACATACCAGACAGAATCTCTGGCACACAGCTAAAGCAGTGTTTGGAGGGAAATTTATAGCACTAAATGCCAACAGGAGAAAACAGAAAAGATCTAAAACTGACATCACAATTAAAAGAGCTAGAGAAGCAAGAGCTAACAAATTCAAAAGCTAGCAGAAAACAAGAAATAACTAAGATCAGAGCAGAACTGAAGGAGATAGAGACATAAGAAACCCTTAAAAAAATCAACAAATCCAGGACCTGGATTTTTGAAAAGATTAACAACATAGATAGACTACTAGCCACACTAACAAAGAAGAAAAGAGAGATGAATCAAATAGACACAATAAAAAATGATAAAGGGGATACCACCACTGATCCCACAGAAATACAAACTAACATCAGAGA